>NC_000001.11:212881556-213033071 GCF_000001405.40 Homo sapiens | reverse complement strand
AGAAACACCAAAGCTGAGACATGCTGGGCCTCCTATCTAGGAATTTTGCTACTGAAGGTTAACAGGAACTAAAAGTCCTCCCAAGAAAGAGAAGGGATGGATTCAGGCTCACTGCTGAAACTAAGGGCCACTTTACCCATAAAGAAAGGCTGAAAGGTGCTGCAGTGACTACTTCCATAGCCATGGCCTAGGGAGGCAGAAGAAAAGGGATACAGCTTCACATCCAGGACCTGGGCCAAGCTATCCACTAGCTCACAGATTAGAAATGTAACATCTCTGATAGCATAGCTAGACAGACCCAAGCCACAAATATAAAACCTGATTCTGGTCAAGGATTCCCTTGAGGGGGAATGGAGGCAATTAAGACAAACAGGGTCAACAGAGAGAAAAAATAAAAATCTCTTAATCAGGAGGTTTGCACATGAAAATTCCAAAACACATGAAGAAATTCACACTAGAACAGCCACCAGCAAAATCAAAATAGGGAAGATAAATTTACTCCGGACAAAATAAACATAACAGAATAATCAGAAAATGAGCTTTAAACAAGTGTGATTAGTATCGTTTGAGAGAGGTAAAAGAAAAAAATAATAATAATTTTTTTTTTTGAGACAGAGTCTCGCTCTCTCATGTTGGGAGCAAGCCCCCCAAAATCTGGCCATAAACCGGCCCCAAAACTGGCTATAAACAAAATCTCTGCAGCACTGTAATATGTTCATAATGGCCCTAACACCCACGCTGGAAGGTTGTGGGTTTACGGGAGTGAGGGCAAGGAACATCTGGCCTGCCCAGGGCAGAAAACCACTTAAGGGCATTCTTAAGCCGCAAACAATAGCATGAGCGATCTGTGCCTTAAGGACATGCTCCTGCCGCAGTTAACTAGTCCAACCTATTCCTTTACTTCAGCCCATCCCTTCGTTTCCCATAAGGGATACTTTTAGTTAATTTAATATCTATAGAAAAAATGCCAATGACTGGTTTGCTGTTAATAAATATGTGGGTAAATCTCTGTTCGGGGCTCTCAGCTCTGAAGGCTGTGAGACCCCGATTTCCCACTTCACACCTCTATATTTATGTGTGTGTCTTTAATTCCTCTAGCACTCTTGGGTTAGGGTCTCCCCAACCGAGCTGGTCTCGGCAAGTGGCATCCATTGTGGGGGCTCGAATCCAGGTTGAAGGCTCACTGGAGCAATGGTTGGAATGGAAAACTAGCTGGAGGACAAGTAAATACTCTTAAAGCAATCCCCATGGTGAGTAAGAAGGGGAGCTCGGAAGCGTCAGGGTAACAATGGGACAGGTATGGGGTCTGGTTCATTCCACCTTGGAACTTTTTCACACTGATGATGAGGACAAACGCGAGTATAATGAAACAACAGAAGAGGTTACAGAGCATGTTTATTTACCAGCTAAAGCTAAAGTGGCAAAGGAAGGAGAGGTTCATCCCTACCCTTCTGCACCCCCTCCTTATTATTTTGAAGAAAAAGACCCTCCAGATCTTTCTTTTCTGGAGGACACAGCAAAAAGTAGTTGCCCCAGTGACTGTTCAAGCAGTGCCTCGAGCGACCACTCTTAGTTCTATTCAGGCAGGAATTCAGCAAGCTAGACGAGAGGGTGATAAAGAGGCTTGGCAGTTCCCTGTTAGAATACACCCACCAGGTCAACAGGGAAATATTACAGCTACATTTGAGCCTTTTCCTTTTAAATTACTCAAAGAATTTAAACAAGCTATAAATCAGTATGGACCAGGTTCTCCTTTTGTAATGGGACTGTTAAAGAATGTTGCTGTTTCCAGTCAAATGATACCTACTGACTGCGATGCTCTTACTTGAGCTTGTCTAACTCCTGCTCAGTTCTTATAATTTAAAACTTGGTGAGCAGATGAAGCTTCCATTCAGGCTGCTCAAAATGCCCAGGCCCAACCTCAAATTAATATAACTGCAGACCAACTTTTGGGGGTTGGCAGCTGGGCTGGTTTACATGCACAACTGGTCATGCAGGATGATGCCATAGAACAGCTTAGTGCAGTGTGCATTAGAGCTTGGGAAAAAAATCACTTCAGGTGGAGAAAAATACCCTTCCTTTAGTGCTGTAAAACAGGGACCAAGAGAACCATACGTTGATTTTATAGCTCCGTTACAGGAGTCTCTTAAAAAGATGATTGCAGATTCGGCTGCTCAGGATATAGTGTTGCAGTTATTGGCTTTTGACAATGCTAATCCCGATTGCCAGGCTGCTCTGCGACCTATCAGAGGGAAAGGTGATGGTATCGAAAGTAATCTGCATACAGCTACTCTGCTAACACAGGCAATGGCAGGACTGAGAGTGGATAAAGGAAATACTCCATTCCCTGGAGCTTGTTTTAACTGTGGGAAGCATGGTCATACTAAACAAAAATGTAGAAAAAAATCAGCAAGTCAGGCCGCCAGACAGGGGAAAAAAGAAAACTGCTGATCCTGAAATATGTCCAAAATGTAAAAAAGGAAAACATTGGGCTAATCAGTGTCACTCTAAGTTTGATAAAGAAGAGAACCCGATTTTGGGAAATGCCACGAGGGGCCCATCCTGGGTCCCATTCTAAACCGGGACATTTCCAGCTCAGGCCATTCTCTCACCCCCGTACAATGTCTATCCCCTGCCACAGCCAGTAGTGCCACAGTAGATTTATGCTGCACAAAAGCTGTGAGCCTTCTGCCTGGGGAACCCCTGCAAAAGGTCCCAACAGGAGTCTGTGGACCCTTGCCAGCAGGGACAATAGGATTACCTTTAGGAAGGTCTAGTTTAGGTTTAAAAGGGGTGCAAATACATACAGGAGTCATTGATTCAGATTACAATGGGGAAATTCAAATTGTTATATCTACTTCTGTTCCCTGGAAAGCAGAGCCAGGAGGGCGTATAGCACAGCTCCTGATTGTGCCATATGTGGGAATGGGAAAAAGTGAAATTAAACGAACAGGAGGATTTGGAAGCACAAATAAACAAGGCAAAGCAGTGTATTGGGTAAATCAAATTACTAATAAATGCCCTACCTGTGAAATAACTATTCAGGGAGAGAAATTTAAAGGTTTGGTAGATACAGGAGCGGACATTTCAGTCATTTCTCTACAGCACTGGCCGCCCATGTGGCCAATTCAGCCCTCTCAATTTAACATAGTTGGAACTGGTAAAGCCCCAAAGTATATCGAAGTAGTTATATTTTGCATTGTGAAGGACCCGATGGACAACCTGGGACTATTCAACCAATTATAACTTCTGTACCTATAAATTTATGGGGAAGAGATTTATTACAACAATGCGGAGCACAAGTTCTAATTCCAGAACAATTATATAGCCCTCAAAGTCAACATATGATGCATGAAATGGGGTATGTCCCTGGTATGGGACTAGAAAAAAATTTGCAAGGTTTGAAAAAAACTGCTTCAAGTGGAAAGACAAAGTTCCCGCCAAAGATTAGGATATCATTTTTGATGGTGGCCATTGTTAAGCCACCAGAACCTATACCTTTAAAATGGTTAACAGATAAGCCAATTTGGATAGAACAAAGACCGCTAAGTAAAGAGAAACTGGAGGCTTTAGAGACATTATTTACTGAACAATTAGAAAATGGGCACATAGCTCCAACATTTTCCCCTTGGAATTCTCCAGTTTTCGTAATTAAGAAAAAATCAGGTAAATGGAGAATGTTAACTGACTTAAGAGCTATCAATTCAGTTATACAACCTATAGGGGCATTACAGCCAGGATTGCCTTCTCCTGCTTTAATTCCAAAAAAAATGGCCTTTAATAATCATATATTTAAAAGACTGTTTCTTTACTATCCCTTTAGCTGAGCAAGACTGTGAAAGGTTTGCATTTACAATTCCTGCAGTAAACAACCTGCAGCCTGCTAAGCATTATCACTGGAAAGTGTTGCCACAGGGCATGTTAAATAGTCCCACAATTTGCCAGACATATGTGGGGCAAGCACTTGAACTTACTCATAAAAAATTTTCAGTGTTACATTATTCACTATATGGATGATATAGTTTGTGCTGCCCCTACTCGAGAAATATTACTCCAATGTTATGATCACTTACAAAATTTGATTTCTTGTGCTGGTTTAATTATAGCTCCTGACAAAATTCAGACTACTACTCCTTACTCCTACTTGGGAACCTTAGTAAATGACACTACCATTGTGCCACAGAAAGTAACCATATGTAGGGATCAACTAAAAACATTAAATGACTTTCCAAAATTGCTAGGGGGTATTAATTGGATATGACCTGCTCTAGGCATTCCTACCTATGCCATGAGTAATCTGTTTTCTGTCCTTAGAGGAAATCCTAGTCTCACTAGCCCTCGGCAATTAACAAAGGAGGCTGAGGCAGAGTTACAACTGATTGAGAAGCAAGTCCATAAAGCTCAAATAAATAGAATAGATCCAGAGAAGACTCTAGATTTCCTAATTTTTTCAACTCAACATTCACCTACTGGTGCTATTGTCCAAGAACAGGACTTAGCAGAGTGGCTTTTTCTTCCACATACTAATTCATGGACTCTAACTCCTTATTTAGATCAAATCGCTACTATGATAGGGATTGGGACAACTCAGATTGTTAAATTACATGGATATGCTCCTGGAAAAATTATTGTCCCTCTCATGATGGCACAAATACAGGCAAGCTTTTATAAATAGTCTTACTTGGCAAACCCATTTAGCTGACTTTGTAGGTATTCTTGATAATCATTTTCCTAAAGCGAAGCTGTTTCAGTTTTTGAAATTAACTAATTAGATTCTACCCCAAATAACTAAATTTAAACCAATTGAAGGTGCTGAGAATGTTTTTACAGATAGGTCTAGTGATGGTAAAACTTCTTATTTTGGCTCAAAAAGTAGTTTTCCAGATGTCCTATACTTCAGCTCAAAAAGTGGACCTTGTAGCCGTAATTGAGGTATTGCCTGCTTTTGATATGCCTATTAATGTGATTTCTCATTCTTCATACGTGGTTCATTCCACACAGTTAATTGAAAATGCTCAGATATGATTTCATACAGATGAACAACTGATGACTTTATTTACCCAATTGCAAAGAGCAGTTAGAAGTAGAATGCACCCTTTTTACATCACTCACATTAGGGCTCATACACCTGTTCCAGGACCTTTGACTGAAGGGAATCAAATGGCCGATCACCTAGTTGCTAATGCAATATCTAATGCTAGACATTTTCACAATTTAACCCATGTTAATACCTCTGGTCTCAAATGCAGATACAGCATTACCTGGAAAGAAGCTAAAGCTATTATCCAGCAATGCCCAACTTGCCAAATGGTACATTCCTCATCTTTTACAGCAGGAGTTAATCCTCGAGGATTGGAACCAAACTCTCTTTGGCAAATGGATGTCACACATGTTCCCTCATTTGGGAGACTAGCTTATGTACATGTATGTGTGGACACCTTTTCTCACTTTGTCTGGACTACATGCCAAACAGGAGAGTCTTCTGCCTGTGTTAAACGTCATCTTTTGCACTGTTTTGCGGTGATGGGCATTCCAGCTTCTATTAAAACAGATAATGCCCCAGGCTATACTAGCCAAGCTGTAGCTACATTTTTCTCTATGTGGAATATTAAACACATTACTGATATCCCATACAATTCTCAAGGACAAGCCATAGTGGAAAGAATAAATATCTCCCTAAAACAGCAGTTGCAAAAGCAGAAAGTGGGAGACAGAGATATGGAACCCCACAAATGCAACTGAATCTAACATTATTAACTTTAAATTTTTTGAGCCTGCCCAAAGGCCAGATGTTATCAGCAGCTGAACAGCATCTACAGAAACCAGCTGCAAAGACAGAAGCAGAACAACTGATTTGGTGGAGAGATCCGATTACAAAAAGTTGGGAAATAGGTAAAATAATAACTTGGGATAGAAGTTATGCTTGTGTTTCTCCAGGCCAAAATCAACAGCCGATTTGGATATCATCAAGACACCTGAAACCTTATCATGAGCTAGATGCTGAGGAAGAGATTCCAGGAGGATCCCAAGGACCCCTCGGTTGCAGCCATGTGGAGACTGACACTGAGGAGGACCCCAACTGTCACGAGCAACACCTGTTGAACACAGCCACCCACCAGGGGACAGATCAAGAAGCTGTCACAGATGGTGGAAGAAAACCTGAGGAAAGCAGGACAACCAGTCACAATGAGTAATTTAATGGTAGCTATGATAGCGGTTATCACCACTGCCATGAGTATTCCTTCAACAAGGGCTGACACAGAGAACAATTATACTTATTGGGCATATTTATCAATCTTGGCTGGCAATAATGCCTGGATGCAATCACTCTATGACACAGTTACACATGCTTTCTGATCTCAGTATTTACCATAATAAATCTGCTCCTATAATTGAGGCATACTGCCCTCAAAAACCTTTTTGTAAATAGGATTGGACCCAGTTAGAAAAAATGAACGTACTTGTTTAGGAAGATTGCTTTGCAGAACAGGCAGAGGTGCTGCACAACGATTCCTATGGAATCATTATTAATTGGTCCCCTAAGGGGATGTTTAGCTTAAATTGCACCTCTCAGTCTGCGTGCCATGGCCACACTATGTTCAGCTGATCTGAACAAAATGATCAGATGGTAGATATAAGAAGTATGGCAAGAGTTCCTATTATCTGGAACCATGGCAGTATAGTGGCACCTCAACTTCATGATACAGCCTGCTCTGGGAGCTAAACACAAGGATTTGTGGAAACTATTAATAACTCTTAATAAGATCAAAATTTGGGAAAGAATAAAAAAGCATCTAGAAGGACACTCTACAAACTTGTTTTTGGATATAGCAAAATTAAAGAACAAATATTTAAAGCATCCCAGGCACACCTGACCTTAATGCCAGGAACTGGAGTGCTTAAAGGAAATGGATAAAAACACTTGGAAGCTCTGTGATTTCAATGATGATTGTGCTTTTGATTTGTGTTGTTTGTCTTTGTATAGTCTGCAGATGTGAATCCTGACTCCTGCAAGAAGTAGCTCACCGTGACAAAGCTGCCTTTGCTTTTATCGCTTTGGAAATCAGAGAAGGGGGACATGTTGGGAGCAAGCCCCCCAAAATCTGGCCATAAACCGGCCCCAAAACTGGCTATAAACAAAATCTCTGCAGCACTGTAACATGTTCATAATGGCCCTAACGCCCATGCTGGAAGGTTGTGGGTTTACGGGAATGAGGGCAAGGAACACCTGGCCCACCCAGGGTGGAAAACTGCTTAAAGGCATTCTTAAGCCACAAACAATAGCATGAGCGATCTGTGCCTTAAGGACATGCTCCTGCTGCAGTTAACTAGCCCAACCTATTCCTTTAATTCAGCCCATCCCTTCGTTTCCCATAAGGGATACTTTTAGTTAATTTAATATCTATAGAAATAATGCTAATGACTGGTTTGCTGTTAATAAATATGTGGGTAAATCTCTGTTCAGGGCTCTCAGCTCTGAAGGCCGTGAGACCCCTGATTTCCCACTTCACACCTCTATATTTCTGTGTGTGTGTCTTTAATTCCTCTAGCACCGCTGGGTTAGGGTCTCCCCGACCGAGCTGGTCTCAGCACTCTCACCTAGGCTGGAGTGCAGTGGTGTGATCTTGGCTCACTGCAACCTCCACCTCCCAGGTTCAAGCGATTCTCCTGCCTCAGCCTCCCAAGCAGCTGGGATTACAGGTGCGCACCACCATGCTGGCTAATTTTTTGTATCTTTAGTAGAGATGGGGTTTCACTATGTTGGCCAGGCTGTACTCAAACTCCTGACCTCGTGATCTGCCCACCTTGGCCTCCCAAAATGCTGGGATTAGAGGTGTGAGACACTGCACTTGGCCAAGAATAAGGAATTATAAAAGCAAGCAGAAATAAAACAAAAAAGGGGATGCAGAAAAAATCAACAAAGAAATCTTGGAAATAAAAAAACATATAGCAGTTGAAATAAATACTGAATAGACAAAACACAGTATAGACTTTTCTCAGTTAAAGAAAATATTAGTAAGTTAGTAGAACTAAGGAATTCATCAAGTTCTCAGCATAGAGAACATGAGAAGGAGGAGAAATACTAAATGTATATCAGCAGAATAAAGGATTAATAAATTGTGATTTGTATTTGGAATATAGTAGTGAAAAAGCAATTAACCAGAATTGCAGGTATAAGCATGGTTAAATCTTAAAACATAATGTTGAGACTGAAAAGTTGGAAAAAGATACAGAGTATGATACCATCTACATAGTTCTAAATATGTTCTAAAATATGTTATATAAAATTATTATATATTTAAAATTATATATATATTTACTATATATAAAAATTATATGTAGTTCTAAAATATGTTATATAAAATTATTATATATTGTCTATAATACACATATAAAAATATATAATGGCACATATGAGAATGAAAAGCACTAAATTTAGGATGGTAGTTTCATCTTGGGAGATGGAGAGAAAAGGGTTTGCAGATGGGATGCCAAGGCTTCAACTGTATTTGTAATATTTTATCTCTTAAACCAGGTGTGGAGATAAATAAATAAATGAATGAGTGAATGAATTTTGAATTTGAAAATGTCATTGGCATCCATCTGGTATAAAGATAGAACTTTAATAGTATCTGGAAAGATTTTTTAAATTGGAATTTAACAAATTGCAAAGTGCTATGCTCTTGTTATGGCTTTTCTGTTGAGGAGAGAGAGCAGGGACGGGGTCTTACTATGTCACCCAGGCTGGAGTGAAGTGGCATGATCATAGCTCACTGCAGCCTCGACCTCCCAGGCTCAAGTGACCCTCTTGCTTTAGACTCCTGAATAGCTGGGACCACAGGTGTGCACTACCATGCGCAGCTAATTTTTATTTACTTTTTATTTTTTTAAAGACAGTGTCCCACTATGTTGCTCAGGCTCGTCTTGAACTCCTGGGCTCAAGGGATCCTCCCGCTTGGCCTCCCAAAGTGCTGGGATTATAGGCATGAGGCACTGTACCCAGCCTCTTGTTGTGCTATTAATATTAACTTGTGACTCTTGCCCTCTAGAAACTAATGAAGGCCTTATATAGGCATGTCAAAATAAAATGTTTCTTTTCTAGTCTGTTCTGGATTTTTCCTCCATCATAACCCTGGCTCTGCCTTGTCTTCTGAGCCAATCTGGATATTCTAGACCAGATAGCTGAAATGGTCACTCTCCTGCTCAGGGATCTGAAAAACAATCAATTTTCAGATAATTCTAAGGGTCTCTGCTATTTGCTGAAAATTCATATGCTGAGTTTCTTCCTCTGTCACATTTCAGTAGCTCTAGCCTTCTCAATTTCTAGTTGTACAGTCCTTAATGAGATTCCCTGTATCTTGGTCACACTCTGAAAGTACCTCCACTAGTGACTTATTCCTCAGGACAGGAGACACACTGACTTCATTACACTGTACCTCTCAATCCTCCTCTCTTTTCTGTAATCAGATCTGGCAATACCAGTAGAAGAGAGGACAGTTTTACCTACTTTAGTTTTTGCCAGGGAGAACAACTCCCAGTGAGTGTCCAAGCTCTCTCCATTTCATAGAAATGTGAGTTCTGAAGTACTTCCATTTTCTTTCAAACCTCAGTCCTTCTGGGTGAGGTTTAACTCATACTTTTGCCATATTGGCTACCCACACCCCAGCCAATTCAAGTTCCTGAATTTCATCCATAGTATATGAATCTCCGTGTGCCTGTCCAAAATACTTGGCTTCTCTTTAGCAGAGACCTTGGTCTCTGAGGTTTTTTTGCCCACCCTTCTTCATTGTCTCAATCCCTGACTAGGTATGCAATTATGGTTGGATGGTATTCTAAAAATCAATCAATGTTCCTCCCTACCCAATTCTTATTAACATTAAACTACTTCAAAAAAAGAAATCACCTTTCACTACAGATTGACCTTAATGATGTAAGCTTGAATTCTTAAAATATTTCTGAGTTAGTTTCTATATATATATTTTTTCTTTCTTTCTTTTTTTTTTTTTTTTTTTTTGAGATGGAGTCTCACTCTCCCACCCAGGCTGGAGTGCAGTGGCACAATCTTGGCTCACTGCAACCTCCATCTCCCAGGTTCAAGCAATGATCTTGCCTCAGCCTCCTGAGTAGCTGGACCACAGGCACGAGCCACCATGCCTGGCTAGTTTTTTGCATTTTTAGTAGAGACGGGGTTTCACCATCTTAGCCAGGATGGTCTTGATCTCCTGACCTTGTGATCCGCCTACCTCGGCCTCCCAAAGTGTTGGGATTAGAGGTGTGAGCCACCGTGCCCAGCCGTCTATTTTTCTTTAAAGTATATTACATTTGGAATGTCTTGATTTACTTATTTTCAGGTAATTTTAGGAATTAAATTTATGTAAGTGCTTATTTATCTCTATAAGCCAATCAGAGCAGAGATCCTTTGATAAAAATAAACTAGATTTTAATTCATAATACCTTACAGAGGCAGGACAATATCTTATACTCACATAGTGAGGTATAAAGACGTTTATAAATTACAGACACACAGATATATGGAGAATTTATGGCTTCAATTCTACCATTTCAACCATGGGTCAAGAGTAAACACAGGAATACAAAAACTCACCAGTCCAGATATAAATGAGCGTTCTCCTTCCAACGGGCACAAAATTCTTGAGTTGAACTCAAAATAGGCAAATAGACAAATAAATAAAAAGAACATACAAGGTTTTCTGTTGTCTCTCACTCAACAGAAATTATATCTCTGTAAACCACTAGTCCTTTTATAGAGATCACCAAATGGTTAGACCATGTAACCAAACTCTTAATCATTGCTTCCAACAGAGGGAAATAACTTATTGGCCATGTACAGGCACATCTCAAAGATATTGTGGGTTTGGTTCCAGACCACTGCAATAAACCAAATATTGCAATAAAGTAAGTCATGCAAATTTTTTGGTTTCCAAGTGCATATAAAAGTTATTATGTTCACACTATATTGTAGTCTATTCAGTGTGCAATAACATCATGTCTAAAAACAAAGTATGTATCTTTTTTTTTTTTTCTTTTGAGACTGAGTTTCACTCTTGTTGCCTAGGCTGGAGTGCAATGCCGCGATCTGGGCTCACTGCAACTTTTGCCTCCCAAGTTCAAGCGATTCTCCTGTCTCAGCCTCCCGGGTGGCTGGGATTACAAGCGCATACCACCACACCCGCTAATTTTTGTATTTTTAGTAGAGACAGGGTTTCATCATATTGGTCAAGCTGGTTTGGAACTCCTTACCTCAAGTGATCCACTCGCCTTGGCCTCCCAAAGTGCTGGGATCACAGGTGTGAACCACTGCGCCCGGCCTAAAGTATGTATCTTAATTAAAAAGTACTTTCCTGCTAAAAATTGCAAACAATCAACTAAACCTTTAGCAAGCCATAATATTTTTTGCTGGTGGAGGGTCTTGCCTTTATGTTAATGGCTACTGACTTATCAGATTTGTGGTTGCTGAAGGTTGGGATGGTTGTGGAAATTTCTTAGAAAAAAATGAACTTTGCTGCATAGATTGACTCCTCCGTTCATGAAAGATGTCTCTGTACATGTGATGCTGTTTGATAGCATTTTATACACAGTAGAAAATGTCTTTCAAAATTGGAGTCAATTCTCTGAAATACTCATTCCACTTTATCAACAAAGTTTATATAATATTCTAAACCCATTGTTGTCATTTCAACAATGTTCAGAGCATCTATACCAGGAGTAGATTCTATTTTAGGAAACCACTTTCTTTGCTCATCCGAAAGAAGCAACTCCTCATTTGTTCAAGTTTTATCATGCGATTGTAGCAATCCAATCACCTCTTCAAGCTCTAATTCTAGTTCTCTTGCTATTTCTACTACATCTGTTGTTACTACCCCCACTGAAGTCTTGAACCCCTCAAAGCCAACCATGAGGGCTGGAATCAACTTCTCTCAAGCTCCTGTTAATGTGGAAATTTTGACCTCCTTCCATGAATCAAAATGTTCTGAAAGGCATCTAACATGGCAAATCTTTTCCAGAAGATTTGCATCAAAGATGGTGACTCCTTTCTAGAAGGTTTTTAATTTACTTTCCCCAGATCCTTCTGTGGCAGCTATAACCTTAGAAAATGTATTTCTTAAATGAGGGGACTTGAAAGTCAAAATTATTCCCTGATCCCATGGGCTGTAGAATGGATGTTGTGTTAGCAGGGATAAAATAACATTCAACTGAGAGCTCTTGGGTGACCAGGTGTATTGTTAATGAGCATAACGTTTTGAAAAGAGTCTTTTTTTCTAAGCACAAAAGTGTGCTTAAAATATTCAGTAGACCATGGTATAAACTGATGTGCTGTTGTCCAGGCTTTGTCTTCCATTGATAGAGGACAGGCAGAGTAGATTTAACAGAATTCTTAAGGGTCCTAGGATTTTCAGAATGATCAATGAGCATTGGCTTCTACTAAAAGCCACCAGCTCCATTAGCTGCTAACAAGAGACTCAGCCTGTCCTTTGAAGTGTTGAAGCCAGGTATTGACTTCTTTCTAGCTATGAAAGTCCTAGATGGCATCTTCTTCCAACAGAGGCTGTTTCATCTGCACAGAAAATCGGTTGTGTATTATAACCACCTTCATCAGTAATCAAAGCTGCATCTTCTAGATAACTTGCCGCAGCTTCTCCAACAGTACTTTCTGCTTCCGCATGCACTTTTATGTTATGGAGACAGCTTCTTTCCTTAAACCTCATGAAGCAACTTCTGCTAACTTCCAACTTGTCTTCTGCAGCATCCTCACTTCTCTCAGCCTTCATAGAATTGAAGAGAGTTAGGGCCTTACGCCGGACAAGGCTTTGATTTAAGGGAATGTTGTAGCTGGTTTGATCTTCTATATAGACCACTCAGATTTTCTCCATATCAGCAATAAGGCTGTTTTGCTTTCTTATCATGCCTTCATACACTGGAGTAGCATTTTTAATTTCCTTCAAGAACTTTTCCTTTGCATTCACAATTTGGTTAACTGTTTGGTGCAAGATGCCTGTCTTTGGGCCTATCTCAGCTTTTGTCATCCCTTCATTAAGCTTAATAATTTCTAGCTTTTGATTTAAAGATCTGTAACTCTTCCTTTCACTTGAACACTTAGGCACCATCGTAGGGTTATTAATTGGCCTAATTTCAATATTGTGTAGGGGACATGGAGGCCTGAGGAGAGGGAGAGAGACAGGGAATGGTTGGTCAGTCAGCAGAGCAGTCAGAACACACACATTTGTTAAGTTTGCCATCTTGAATGGGTGCAGTTTGTGGTGCCCCAAAACAATTACAATAGTAACATCAACGACCGCTGATCACAGATCACCATAATAGATATAAGAATGATGAAAATGTTTGAAATATGCGAGAATAACCAAAATGTTATACAGAGAAAGAAAGTGAGCACATGCTGTTGGAAAAATCGTTATCAATAGAATTGCAAAAGGGAGGGTTGCCACAAATCTTCAATTTGCAAAAAACAGAGTATCTGTGAAGCATAATAAAGTGAAGCACAATAACACAAGATATGCTTCTACAAACCAAAGAAAAACACACAATTACTGGAGAAGAAAATAAAAATTAGAAAAACAAAGACTCAGCAACATGCTTTTGCCATTTTAGATTTATCTCTGGGAGCAAGAAAATTGCCAGAACTCAGGCAATCCATGAAGTGTACTTTTACAGTGATAAAATTCACCTGCCTCTGTCAGATGAATACATTGGGCATCTTGGTGGGAACTACTGAACTTTTAAAAGATAATTTTCCAAAAAAAAAAAAAAAGGTAAAATCATGACTCTCAAACAGATATAATACGAACACATTAGTCATTTTATTTTATTTATTTTGAAACGGAGTCTCACTCTGTCACCCAAGGTGGAGTGCAGTGGTGCGATCTTGACTCACTGCAACTTCCGCCTTCTGGATTTAAGCGATTCTCATGCCTCAGTCTCCCAAGTAGCTGGGATTACAGGCATGAGCCACCACACCCAGCTAATTTTTGTCTATTTTTAGTAGAGACGGGGTTTCACCATGTTGGCCAGGCTAGTCTTGAACTCCTAACCTCAAGTGATCCGCCTGCCTTGGCCTTCCAAAGTGCTGGGATTACAGGCGTGAGCCCCTGCACCCAGCCATTTTATTTAACTCATTACATAGGTGAACCAGACAGATGTTATCACCTGTTCAAAGGAGAATCCAAAGAGCAGACATGTTTATAGATCAGAAATATTGATCTTGCAAATGGTGCAAAACTGGCTTTTTTGTTGTTGTTGTTGTTTAATTTATTATTATTATTATTATTATTATTATTATTATTTGCGATGGAGTCTCGCTGTGTCGCCCAGGCTGGAGTGCAGTGGCGCGATCTCGGCTCACTACAACCTCCATCTCCCAGGTTCAAGCGATTCTCCTGCCTCAGCCTCCTGAGTAGCTGAGATTACAGGCATGCCACCACACCTGCTAATTTTTGTATTTTTAGTAGAGAACGGATTTCACCATGTTGGTCAGGCTGGTCTCGAACTTCTGACCTCGTGATCCTCCCGCCTCAGCCTTTCAAAGTGCTAGGATTACAGGTGTGAGCCACTGCAGGCAGCCAAAACTGGCTTTTCCATAGAGATGGAGAGTTCTCCCCCCAACTAGGTAGAATTATTTTACAAGTCCATAGACAAAAATCATTTGCACTGCCACAAGCGCCCTGCAAGTTAACTTTAATCTTTGCAATAGTCTAGGCCCAGATAAAGGCAAATATCTTTTAGGATCAGATAAACCCCCAAATTCCAACACTGCATGAAAAGATATCTATTAATTTCTTTTACTTATTTAAAAATGTTACATTTCTCCTTACCTCTTAGGGTGTGCTAAAGGAAAAAGCTTCTGGTCATTCACAAGTCCCAAGTTCTGGCCCACTGTTAACCATTCATTCAAAAATATTTTTACTACTATATATTGTGTACTTAGCACAGCACTAGGTCAAGTAAATTTTGGAAATAATGAGTCATGGTCTTTCCTCAGAAGTTATTTACAATCTCATTATAAAGACAAGACATACAGTAAACTACTAGTCAATTTAATGAACTACAAAATTGTGAGTACAACTAGAAAATAGGGCAGTATAAAACAGAAATACAGTCTTTCTCCATTATTTGTGGATTCCATATTTGCAAATTTGCCTACTTGCTAAAATTGATCTGTAACCTCCATGTATTCTTGGACATGTACAGAGCAGGGAAAATTTTTAATTGCCCAAAGTGCACATTCCCAGCTGAGGCTAAACAAGGCATTCTCTGCCTTTTTGTTTCAGCTCTCATGCTATACCATAGTGTCCCCTTGTTGCCAGGGCTGGAGTACAGTGACACTATCTTGGTTCACTGCAGCCTCGCCCTCTCGGGCTAAAGTAATCCTTTCACCTCAAATTCTGGAGTAGCTGGGACTACAGACGAGAGCCACCATGCCCGGCTAATTTTTGTATTTTTTGTAGGGACGGGGTTTCGCCATGTTGTCCAGTGTGGTCTTGAACTCCCTGGCTGAAGCGATCCAGCCGCCTTGGCCTCCCATATTGCTGGGATTACAGGCGTGAGCCATCAGGACCAAGTGTCCTTTTCACATTCCATTTAGTGATATGTTTTTCACGTTTTTGTACTTTTTGTTGATGTTGCTGTTTAAAATGGTCCCCAAGCGTTGTGCTGTATAGTGCTCCTAAGCACAAGAAGGCTGTCATGAGCCTTGCAGAGAAAATAGCAGTGTTAGATAAGCTTTGTTGAGGTATGAATTATAGTGCTGTTGACTGAGTTCAATGTTAATGAATCAACAATATATATTAAATAAGATGTCTTTAAGCGGAAACACACATACAACAAAACTATGTATTGATTAAGTTGATGAAAATGCGACCAGAGGCTTACAGGATCCTAATCCTGTATTTCCCTTAGGAGTAATGATTCAGTATTTACTAATTCAGTGTTTCCAGCAACTTTACAGAACCTAACTACTGCAAATAACAAGAATCAATTACATACTGAGGGAAAGGTTTTTTTCAAATACACTTTACTTCCTTTTATGCACCAGGGATAAGAAAAGCCTTCCCAAGAAATTACCACTGTTTCAAAGAGCCTATAAAAGCAGTGCTCCTGCCTTCTAGTATCCTTTTCCCCTCTACTCTCCACACTTTATTCTTTCTCGGTTTCTCTCTTCCTGTTTCTTGCAGGGTCTCCACTTAAATAATGTCTTTCAACAATCTACAGTCCTATAATACATTTAATAAAGGTGGACACACAAGACATACAAGTACTTTTTTTTTTTTTTTTTTTTTTTTTGAGACGGAGTCTCGCTCTGTCGCCCAGGCTGGAGTGCAGTGGCTCGATCTCTGCTCACTGCAAGCTCTGCCTCCCAGGTTCACGCCATTCTCCTGCCTCAGGCTCCCGAGTAGCTGGGACCACAGGCGCCCGCCACCACGCCCGGCTAATTCTTTGTATGTTTAGTAGAGACGGGGTTTCACCGTGTTAGCCAGGATGGTCTCGATCTCCTGACCTCGTGATCCGCCCGCCTTGGCCTCCCAGAGTGCTGGGATTACAGGCGTGAGCCACCGCGCCCGGCCCATACACGTACATTTTAAAGTGAGAGCTATGGCTGTGCTTCCGCAACATTAATTGCAAAATTCTGTGGTACCTCAGTTCCATGGGCACCCAGAGGATGCGTTGTTCAGCCTCAGCTGGGAATCTGCACTTTGGGCAATTAAAAATTTTCACTGCTCTGTTTATTTCTGCCGGGCGCGGTAGCTCACTCCTGTAATCCCAGCACTTTGGGAGGCCGAGGCGGGCGAATCACTTGAGGTCAGGAGTTCGAAACCAGCCTGGCCAACATGGTGCAACCCTGTCTCTACTAAAAATTCAAAAATTAGCCGGGTGTGGTGGCTCATGCCTGTAATCCCAGCTACTTGGCAGGCTGAGGCAGGAGAATCGCTTGAACCCGGGAGGTGGAGGTTGCAGTGAGCCGAGATCGTGCCATTGCACTACAGCCTGGGCGACAAGAGCGAAACTCCATCTCAAAAAAAAAAAAAGAAAGAAAGAAAGAAAAAGAAAAAAAAGAAAGTTTATTTCTGTTTCTTTAAGACGAAGTTCGGGTGTTTTGCCCTCTTCAGAAATGGTTGCACGCGCGTCCCACGCTCTGCGCATGCTCCTTGAGCAGAATTCCGGGTTAAGGCATTCAGGGACTCTGACTGCGCAAGATGGAGTGTAGGCCGGCCGGCGAGACTGCACCTCCCAGCATGCCTTGCAGCCAGGACTGGAGTCGGTACTTAAGAGTGATGGGGTTCCCTAGATACTTTAGGCCGTCGCATCGATTATAGAGATTGAGGTGGAACCCGGGGCCTGGGAACTGGACGCACGCGGAGGGCGAAGATGGAAGCCTGGCGCTGTGTGAGGAAGGGCTACGGCCACTGTGTGGTGGGAAGAGGCCGGTCAGTAGGGCTGGGTACTCGGAGGGAGGAGAGAGGGGCGGGCGGCCTGAAAGAGCGGGCGGGCGTCCGGGACTAACCCGGGGCGGGGCGGGGCGGGCTAGGGGTGGAAGGAAGAGGAAGAGGGTCTGGGCGATGGTGCATCCGGGACGAGCCTCCAGAGACCAAGCGGGATAGGTAAACCCGCCGCGCAGCTGGCGGGACGCTGGGCCAACGAGGTCTGGGGTCTTGGCGCGGAGTTCATGGGCCGCCGGCCAGGCTTGTGCCAGTGGCTTTGGATCCCTGGCCTGCTTCCCCCAACCCAGCCTCCAGACCAGCGCTGGCCTGCTCCACACACTCCGCAGCACCGTCCCGGGAACCGAGCGTCGGCGGGGAGGCCGCCTCTCCGCAGTAGGTCTCGGCGGGCCTGATCCCTTGGAGGCGCGTGTGTGGCACACGCCCAGGAGGGGCTTGATTTTTGTTGATGTGTTAGTGTCTTTCAAACTTTAGTCACTTGTATGTCATCCCTTACTGTTATGGCCAAGTTCTTGTTTCACGTGTATTATTTACTGGATATTTTTCTTTAAATTGACTCAGTTTTTTTTAAAAAGCACTTCAGTAGGTGCTGCCCACATTAGCTTCACCCTAAGCAGTGTCTGCAGAGTCTTGGATTTGATGTGCGATTATGTTTTTTCCTAATAAACTAACATAAGTATTTAGAAATTACAATCAAGTAATTTAACTGTGTACTCTGTGAAACCGACTCGTGTACCACCCACCACGCTTGGGAAACACAGCATGTATTATTACATAAGCGATGGGGATTTGGTTGTAACTCCCATAGGCCTGGGACTTGATGGTAATTCAGTTCAACAATGTTTCCTGAGTACCAGCTGTTTGCCAGGCACTGTGCTAGGCACTTGTGAAGATAACGGAATTAAAATGAATAAGACGGTTCTGTTCTGGCCCTGAAGGAGCTTAACATCTTAAGAGAAAAAAAAGTCTGAATAAATAACTGCAAATATAGATAATAGCTTTTGTAGTACAAGTATTATATTTCAATACAGTGGCTTATTAGCATAGAAAATGCATGGACCAAGTGCCCAAATTCCTATGGCTTTCAGAGTTATCACAAAGCAGTGTAGAATGCCCATGTTATGCCTTTAAAGATTTACAATTAAGTAGATTTTAGAGAACAACTAGCGAATACTTAAACTGTAAAAATTATAATAAAAATTTAAATGCTGTTAAAACGAGAATAACAGCGTATAAAGTTAAATAACAGTAAACGCAACTTAAACAAAATTCCCTTAGGGATGGGAGCGCACATTATTGATGCTGTGGTAGAAATGTAGCTGTTAAGAATTTTGGAGGAAAGGATAAAAGTCCTTCTCTGAATCTTAACATTTTGCCAAAGTAGTATAGTGAGAGGAACATGGTGCTTTATTAAGCTGAAGTGTTTCTTGAGAGCCTGAGAGCAACATACCTATTAAAAATGTTAGCGCCACTTTGGAGATGTTTTGGATGATGGGTTAAATTGAAGCTGTTGGTTTGGAGTGTTGGTGCATTCGTAGTACGTCATCCCCATCCTCTTTCATTTCCCCCAACGAGAATCATGCTTAAAAAAGAATGGAGAAATAAATTATCCACCCGTTGATTAGTAAGAGAAGTAGTTTTGTGAATTTATGAAGTTGTGGATAGGCTTTTGTTTTCCTAACTATACAAGTGTTTGGAAAAATCTGCCCTTGGTATAAAAAACTGTTCAGAAACTTGTTATTACTCCAAGTTGGAGGAGAGGTTTACTTTAATTGTAGTGTGATATGAGTTCCTTATTCGATTTCAGTATAATACTTGTTGTGTATTTTATTTTCTCATTGAGTTTTGTAGGTGCTTGAAAGCTACTCTGAATATCATTTTGATAGTTGATTCATCTCTCAGTTGAACTATGTACATTTTCAGGGGTATGTGGTATTTTGGGAGCCTGGGAGGCATTCTGTGTTAAGTATTCAGAATACCATTCATGGTTTTTTAGGACGAGAGTATTGAGATATTGATGCCAATAGGTAAATCATGGGTGCTTTCCTCTTCATCCTTCACAGATTTAGCAGCCAGATTTTAAATATTAGACATTACCTTCCCTTGAGGAAACAGGCTTAGATTTTGTAAACTATAGCTGAACAAAAAGTGGTGCCTCAAGGAGTGTATTTATTTCTTTTAGATACCCCATGTTTCCCCATCACTCGAGGAGTCTGGGCAGAGACTGGACTACACCGTGGGAGAATCTGCAAAGGTGTTGCTGGAACAGACATATTTCTAGTTGTATGAGGTGGCCTGGACATTACTCTCGAGCTCCTTACCCATACTTCAGTAGTAGGCATTTTTCACTAAATTGGAGACCACCCTGTTTGTTTGAGTCTAGAACTCAGTTCCAGTACTGTAACTGGAGACCTGACAACCTGAGCCAGACATCTTTGATTCATCTCTCTAGTTACGTCATGAACGCTGAGGGAGATGAGCCTTCATCAAAACGAAGAAAACACCAAGGTAAAGGTGACATTTATCTTGGTGTAGAAATAGATACAAGTGATAGACTAAATTGAAACTTTCATATCTAATCCTTTAAACCTCCTAAGGTTTTAGAGGTGTTTGGTGTTGACTTTTAGCCAGTAGTTTTATGTTAGAAAAAAATGAATTCTTCCTTAAATGAAGTCTTTATTTTTATCTTCAACTAATTGTGTATTTCTGACTATAAAAATAGAAATGAGTCTACAGATAGAATAAGATTGGCAAAGAAAGGAGAAATAGATTACAAAAGTAAGTTTTATTTAAGGATAATTTTTAAATCCAATGTTTTTGAAACAAAGGCCCTTAGACTTCTTAGAAATTGATGGCTATATGCTTAGAAGTCTACAGATCTAAAAAAAATTTAGTGTTTTCATTTTTAAGCTAACATTTTTATGGAAGACGAAAGGACTCATAAATAGAAGCAATCATAAATGGAAGACATGGTCTTATAGGATAAGATTTTCATTTATTACATCTGTATATCTCAAATTGGGTCCATAGATAAAATCTTGAGAGTTTGCCCGAAGTATTATCTTTAAGAAAGGGAACCACATCTTATTCCACTTTGAGAAACAGTTTTTTAAAATGTGTTAATTTACTTCTATTTTTTCATATTCTTTCTACTCTGAACAATTCACTAGACTCCCTCTGTGCTGCCAGTCTTGCCCCCATCACAACCCCATCTCCTGAAAGTATAAGTGAGGTGTCTAGGTAGAATTTGGAATTGTCTTTCTTATTGAACCATAATTTTCAGTGAAGATAATTCCTCTGAAGATAACTTGAGAGAAGGATGTGTGGGTGTTAATGTTTAGGGAGCTGACATGTAAGTTTGTCAAAGGAAGGCATTCAAGGTGAGTCTCATCTGGAAATCAAAGCTAGAATTAGTGCTCTTCAGGTTCCCTCTGGTTTTGTTATCAGAAAGTAGTCTACAGGCTTCAGCTGGGTCCCAATCAACTTTGCTAAGCTAATATTCAAATAAATGTGTAACTTATTGCTACACAGTTACAAAGGACCTAGTCAGAAAAAAACACTTGTAGAAATTCTTAACTGTCCAAAAGTGAAAATCTGTTTGTGTATAGTACTTAACCACAGCATAGGGAGATAAACAAGAAATATTTGAATGAATGAAAGGTGTATTTAGAGGCATTAAAATTAGGTTTCTAAGAACAATCCTAAGATCTATAAATATAGGGCAGTATGATGATACCAGATTGCTTTTCACTCATAAAAATTTGTCCATCAGGTCAGCACACTCCTCTTGTTTAGCCTCTTAGAAATCTGGGATGCTTTCAGATGGAGCTGTGGCATAGCTACATAAGCATTGATTTAGGAACCACTCCCTGCTTTCTTTTCTGCCCCACCACTAATTATATGAACTTGGACAGCTTACTTAACCTCTTTGCTCCTTGATTTTTTCGTGTAAAATAATGCCTACTTGAAAGTCTGTTGAATGAAATGAGATACTGTATGTCAAAGTGCCTAACACACTGTTGGCTTCATAGTAGGTACTCAGAAAATTATGGTGTTGTTTTCCCTTAATGGATGGGGAATTACATTTACCTACTGATAAAGCTTGATTACAACCTGACTTTCTATATGTCCATTCTTCCTAGGTGTTGTGAATAAGGAAAATGCTCTTCGTTAAGCCATATTTGTGACTTCCGATATTTCACTAATACTTTTCAATCAAGAAAACAGCATTGCTAACTTGCCTATCACTTTAAAGTGGTATTTGAAGGATTTGTGTGATACAATTATGACTTTGTAATTAGGCACCCTAAAAACCTGATCAGGCCTATTGCTTACTTTCTTTGATTCATCTGTCTTCTCTGCTGTGATCACCTTGTTCCTCCTGATATGGAAGGTATATAAGCTTTTGTAGTGTGAATTTATGTTGTGAAGCATATGAAGGCCAGAGACTATCCACTCTTATCAGTGGTTTTCAAATTGTCTTCCATGGAACCCTCATATTTGAACACATTTCTGTAAGTTTATTAAAAGCAAATGTGGTCAGTATAAAATATGTGTTCACCCCATCATCCCAGCCCCAGTCCCAGCATGCCAGGGATTGGTGTTCCATGGCATGAAAAGTAACACAGAAGGGTTCTACAAGTTGTAGAAGTTTGAAAGCCACTGTAGTAACCAGATAAACTAATGGTCCTGGTTGTTTAAAAAATGGAATTGCAAAAAGAGTTGTTTATAAACTTTAATGACCAGGACAATAAAAATCTTAATGCATTTATATGCCATTACATGTACATGTTTTATAAGGAAATATGAATAAGGTTTTTAGACCTTAATTTTCATATTTTAATATGGCAGTGAAACCAGGGTAGTGCTCCATCTGTGATGATAGCTTATATATTGTTTGCATGACTGGAACCCTTTCCATCTTGTATACATAAGAAGACTTTGATTTGGCTAAAACCATCATAGACAGTCTCCAGTTTATGAATGAATTGTGTTCTACACATGATCAGTTCTTTTTTTTTTTTTTTTTGAGACGAAGGCTCACTCTGTTGCCCAGGCTGGAGTGCAATGGCGCAATCTCAGCTTACTGCAAGCTCCACCTCCCAGGTTCACGCCATTCTCCTGTCTCAGCCTCCCGAGTAGCTGGGACTGCAGGTGCCCGCCACCACGCCCGGCTAAATTTTTGTATTTTTTAGTAGAGACGGGGTTTCACGGTGTTAGCCAGGATGGTCTTGGTCTCCTGACCTTGTGATCCACCCGCCTTGGCCTCCCAAAGTGCTGGGATTACAGGTGTGAGCCACCACGCCCGGCCAATCAGTTCTGTTTTCCCTATAGAAATTTTGTTATAAATCTGAATGGCTCTGCAGAGCCAGTACAATTGGCCTTAGTTCTGAGCCATTGGGGGTAGGATTCCTATCTTCAGTGAATGATAGGGAAGAGGATAGTTTCCTTTCCTGGGCATAGGATAGGCTCTAGGCAAAATTCTTCATAGTTGAAGACTTTTGTTTAGTTTGGTTTTGTTTCTTTCCATCTTTTTTTTTTTTTTTTTTGAGTTGGAGTCTCACTCTTGTTGCCCAGGCTGGAGTGCAATGGCGCGATCTCGGCTCACTGCAACCTCTGCTTCCCGGGTTACAGCGATTCTCTGGCTTCAGCCTCCTGAGTAGCTGGGATTACAGGTGCATGCCACCACACCCGACTAATTTTTGTATTTTTAGTAGAGACAGGGTTTCGCCATGTTGGCCAGGCTGGTCTCGAACTCCTGACCTCAGGTGATCCACCCGCCTCAGCCTCCCAAAGTGCTGGGATTACAGGCATGAGGCACTGTGCCTGGCCTAATCATACTTTAAAATGATTACTTCATTGGCATTTTTAAATAGCATATTGATATTTTGATTGTAAATGTATTGTGCAGAAGATTTGCAAAAATATTTCACAGTCCTAACACTCAGAGATAACTACTCTTAAAAATATGGGTGTGTTTCCTTTTAGTCTTTATTTCACCCTCTATATAAGTGTATAGGATATTTTAACTTCAATTTAATTTTTGATTGGTGGAATTCCAGGCATTGTATTCCAGTGAAGTGAAAACCTTTGCAGGATAGAGGGAGATATTCTAGGGGCTGAAATTTTTTATATAATTTAATCATACTTAGAAGTCCATTTCCAAATCTGTTTTCCCATGTTCTTCCCATTTTTTTGTTTTCTCTTTTGAACTCATAAATTCTCCAAAAATTCCGTGTTTCTCTTCATGGTTTCCATGGCAGTAAGAGCATGCTCTTTAATGATAGGATGTAGGAGACAAGATCAAAGGTGAATACACACACACACATCACACACACGGTTATTTCTAAGTCAGGGACTGCCTATGATTGCAAAGTCTTGTGTTTTTTTATTCTTTTCATCACTTTTGCAGAATGCATGATGTGTTTGCAGAATATGAACACACGCCTGGTTGTTGCATGCTAGGTTTGTTGGTTAGCCATCATTTACTAGCATTCTGTAGCTATGTCATATTTAACTTTTCCTTTGTTGTACATTTAAAAGATTTCTTTTGTTATTTTGTTTGCATGTTCCACTTCAGTGTTTTAAACACTAAAACTTCTTCCATATATTGCCATTATATACACTTCTTTCATGTATAAACTAGAATTCTGAACTAAGGGTTGCTTCTGGAACTTGGTTAATCATTTGACGATCTTATCCCACTAATAGGGAATAAAATACAGTGTAAAATCATCTTATTGAAAAGCCAACTTTGACATACAAATTTGTTGTTATAGTTATAAAACTGCCAATCACATCTGTGGCAGAGCCACTTCTTAACTGTAGAGAAGTGAGAAACCACAACCTCTGTATAGTCTTAGCTTTGTTAACACATACTCTCAGCCTCCAGAATGACTTGCAAGATTCTTTTAAACCTGTTTTAAACCTGTTGGTCAGTATATTGTGTTACCGCATTTGTAACCAATTTGATAACAGTTCTAATTATTCAGTGCTATATTGCCACTTCCTAGGGAAAAACATTCTATTCATTGCTTATGGGAATTTTTAAGAGGCTGAAAAATACATATATGTGGGAAACTGTATGGTCTGCTTTTGATTAATTCCTTATATTTGTGCAATATATTTTAACAGGTGTGATAAAGCGGAATTGGGAATATATATGTAGCCATGATAAAGAAAAAACGAAGATCCTAGGAGACAAAAATGTTGATCCCAAATGTGAAGACAGTGAGAACAAGTTTGACTTTTCAGTGATGTCCTATAATATACTTTCACAAGATTTACTGGAAGATAACTCTCACCTTTATAGACATTGCCGGCGGCCAGTATTACACTGGAGTTTTAGGTTTCCCAATATTCTGAAAGAAATTAAACATTTTGATGCAGACGTAAGTGCAAAATATTATTGAAATTCTTCACATAAGAAAAAGTTGGGGCCGGGCACACTGGCTCATGCTTGTAATCCCAGCACTTTGGGAGGCTGAGGCAGGTGGATCACCTGAGGTCGGTAGTTTGAGACCAGCCTGACCAACATGGAGAAACCCCGTCTCTACTAAAACATACAAAATTAGCCGGGCGTGGTGGCTCATGCCTGTAATCCCAGCTACTCAGGAGGCTGAGGCAGGAGAATCACTTGAACCTGGGAGGTCGATGTTGCAGTGAGCTGAGATTGCACCATTGCAATCCAGCCTGGGCAACAAGAGCAAAACTCTGCCTCAAAAAAAAAAAAAAAGAAAGAAAGAAAAAGTTGGGTTAAATGTTTCATTTGTGCATTTATGAACTAAATGGTTTTATCCATTTTGTTTGTGGGGTAAGAAAGGAATATGTTTAAGAATAATGATGGAATAAGTCTTAATAAGGTATAACTTTCAGAGAGGCATTTGTTAGTGGTTGCTGGTATGAATAATCATCTAACTTTTCAAAGAGGGTCCAAAAAGTTTTTAAGTATGGGTCAGTTTTGAGACAGAAACTGGCAACATATTAAGTATTCAGTAAATATTAACTTTGATTTGAAATTTCAGTAATTCATGCAAAAATGTCACCTACCTGATAGCATTCAAAGAAATCTGCCTCTTAAGACCTGAAAGATAGTACCAATGAACATGTAAAACCCGGAAAAATATCCTGACATGTAAGCTAAGAATATTTCCTTTTGGAAATAATAATTTTGAGTACTAAGGGAGCTCCATGTGATTGAGGGCCAGAGTTTTGAGATTGATCAAAATTCGGAAACATTAATTTGGTAGATCTATAACAAGAAAAACAGGTAAGTCTTTTATTTCAATTCTTATCAGGTGTGGAATTTTAGAAGCCTGCTTTTAGATATTTTAAGATAAAAGCACCAGGAAATTCATGATTGCATCTCTGTGTTCTAATTCAAGCTATTTTTTTCTTCCAAGGTACTTTGTTTGCAAGAAGTTCAAGAAGATCATTATGGAGCAGAGATCAGGCCAAGTTTGGAATCACTGGGTACAATGCAACTTTTTTTTTTTTTTTTTCTTTTTTGAGACAGGGTCTCACTCTGTCGCCCAACTGGAGTGCAGTGGCACAATCATGGCTCACTACAGCCTCAACCTACTGGGCTCAAGTAATCCTCTCATTTCGGCTTCCTGAGTAGCTGGGACTAGAGATGTGTGCCACCATGCCCGGCCAATTATTTAATTTTTTTTATAGAGACAAGGCAATGTAACTTTTAGCCAAATTTACTTTTGAAAATTCATGTGTCATTAAAGTATAACTTGCTGACAAAGATGTGTGGCATATTTTGGCTAAAAATCTTAATTTTAAAAACTTAATTTCAAAGAGGAAAAGATTGAGGTACTCACTGGAAACTTTTGTGTTGGTGTATAATTTTAATTCAAACAGAAAGATGTGTAAGAATATCTTAGTAGCTCCCTTTCCTAGGAGTTGTTCTGTCCACCTGTAGACCTATAAGCTTCTGAGCTCCAGGAGACCATTTTGTCTCGTTCATCATTATAATACCAGTGCCTGCCAGTGTCTACCTAATGGATAGATGCCAAAAACCTGTTTGATAAATAAACACTCCTAGAAACAAGTTATCTGTGGTCCCATATACTTGAGAAGTGTGCTTACTTTGCATTCATTCATTCAGCAATTTTTTTTTTTTTTTTTTTTTGCGACAGAGTCTCTCTCTTGCCCAGGCTGGAGTGTAGTGGTGCAATCTCGGCTCACTGCAAGCTCCACCTCCCAGGTTCACGCCATTCTCCTGCCTCAGGCTCCCTAGTAGCTGGGACTACAGGCGTCCGTCACTATGCCCAGCTAATTTTTTGAATTTTTTTTAGTAGAGACGGGGTTTCACCGTATTAGCCAGGATGGCCTTGATCTCCTGACCTCGTGATCCGCCTGCCTTGGCCTCCCAAAGTGCTGGGATTATAGGCGTGAGCCACCACGCCTGGCCTTCATTAGCAATTTTTTTTTGAGTGCCTACTATATACCGTGCACTGTTCTAGGGAATGAGGATATAGCATTGGGCAAAAAAGATTAAAAAAATTTCTCCCTTGTGTGGAGTGTACCTTCTGGTGGAGAAAGGCTAACCAAATAAATAAGTAAATAGCATATTAAGTAATGATAGTTTTCTGGAGAAAAGCAGGAAAGTGGAATAGGAGAGGTTTCAGTTTTAAACAAAATGATCAGACGAGGTGACATTTGAACAAATATTTGAAGGAGGTGAAGGAATAAGCGATGCCTAGAACATTCTAGGCAACAGAAATAGCAAGGGAAAGGCCCTGAGGTTGGAGTGTGTTAAGGCAAGTGAGGAGGCCAGTGAGATTGGAATGAAGTGAGGGGGAAGGAGTTACAGGCAAAAAGATCAGGAATATAGGGTGGAGAGAGTGAGAGAATAGATTATTATAAAGCTTTACTATTGCCATGACTAAGTTTTACTAGGATGGCAACGGGAGACTGATAATACACATTAGCATATCAAGGGCTGAAGTCTGCGCATAAAGAGGCCTGTTAGACCCAGTGTCAAACGTTTTTTATTCCAATGTTTATTGACATCCTACATTACTAATGTTTTGCAGAATACAGTTTGGTAAACATTGTTCAGAAGTATCAGGTGAGCTGTGTTTTGATAAATATATAAAAGCAGTCATTTGTTTTAAATTCATTTGTTTCTTGTAGGTTATCACTGTGAATATAAGATGCGGACAGGAAGGAAACCTGATGGCTGTGCTATTTGCTTCAAACATTCCAAATTTTCACTCTTGTCAGTGAACCCAGTGGAATTCTTCCGCCCTGATATTTCTCTGTTGGACAGAGACAATGTTGGATTAGTTTTACTCTTACAGCCCAAAATTCCATATGCTGCCTGCCCTGCAATCTGCGTAGCAAATACGCATCTGTTGTATAATCCAAGGCGAGGTGATATTAAGCTGACGCAATTGGCAATGCTACTGGCAGAGATTTCCAGTGTTGCCCACCAGAAAGATGGCAGCTTCTGCCCTATTGTTATGTGTGGTGACTTTAATTCTGTTCCTGGTTCTCCACTATATAGTTTCATAAAGGAAGGAAAATTGAATTATGAAGGACTTCCCATAGGAAAGGTAAGTGCTTTCTTCATTGTTATTAGGGAGTGGACATAGTTGCTCTGCTCATGATAATGTGAAGATAGTCATTACATGGCTATTTGAAAACCTTGGATGATCCAGTACCCTCACTTTATCAAACTATGATTTTCCATGACTTTTTTTTTTTTTTTTTTTTTTTTTTTGAGACAGTCTCACTCTGTCGCCCAGGCTGGAGTGCAGTGTCATGATCTCAGCTCACTGCAAGCTCCACCTCCCGGGTTCAAGTGATTCTCCTGCCTCAGCCTCCCGAGTGGCTGGGGTTACAGGTGTGTGCCACCACACCTGGCTAATTTTTGTATTTTTAGTAGAGACGGGGTTTCAGCTTGTTGACCAGGCTGGTCTCGAACTCCTTACGTCGTGATCCACCTGCTTCGGCCTCCCAAAGTGCTGGGATTACAGGCGTGAGCCACTGTGCCCAGCTTCTTCTAGTAAGTAATTATTTTCACTTGGTTGATTTATATCTTTTTCATCTATCTGTGGCAACATACTGCTTGGAGGAATTAACAGGCAGCAAAAAAAAAAAAAGTATTGACAGACATGGATACTTCACCGATAAGTAACACAAGGTGGCAGGATAGAATTTTGAATGCTGGTTGTGGGCAAAATAGTAATTTAACATTTATTATACAAGTTTCCGTTGTAGAATAATAAATATTTTCTTTAGCTTAGCACAATTTATCTCGTGATTATTTTTATTGTGCTTTCCTCTCCTTACTTTAGATCATTTCATCTTCAGTATATTTACCAAAATAAGCTCTCCAACACTGGAGTTTTGAGTAATAGTTTAAAATTATTTATTTTTTTTTTTGAGATGGAGTCTTGCTCTTTCGCCAGGCTGGAGTGCAATGGTGGGATCTCGGCTCACTGCATCCTCTGTCTCCCAGGTTCAAGCAATTCTGCCTCAGCCTCCCGAGTAGCTGGGACTACAGGCTTGCACCACCAAGCCCGGCTAATTTTTTGTATTTTTAGTAGAGATGGGGTTTCACAGTGTTAGCCAGGATGGTCTCTAACTCCCAACCTTAGGTGACCTGCAGGTTCACCTCGGCCTCCCAAAGTGCTGGGATTACAGGCGTGAGCCACCATGCCCAGCCAATAAGTTTAAAATTTTGTAAGAGTTAATCTCTCTTAGTACAGGTATACTTCATTTTATTGTGCTTTGCTTTATCGAGCTTCAAACATACTGCATTTTACAAAATTGAAGTTTCATAGCAACTCTACCTTAAGCAGCTCTATCATTGCCATTTTTCCAACAGCATGTGCTCAATTCCTGTCTCTGTCACCTTTTGGTAACTCTTGCATTACTCAAGCATTTTCATTATTATTAACATCTGTTATGTTGATCCAAGATTAGTGATCTTCGATATTACTATTGTAATGGTTTTGGGGTGTTATGAACTGTACCCATATAAAATGAGAACTTAATCGATAAATGTGTTCTGACTGCTCCACTAATCATCTCTCTCCCCCTACTTGGGCCTCTATATTCCCTGAAGCACAACCATATTGAAACTAGGCCAAGTAATAGCCCTGCAGCGCTCTCTAAGTGTTCAAGTAGAAGGAAGACTCACATGTCTCACTTTGAATCAAAAGCTAGAAATGATTAAGCTTAGCAAGGAAGGCATTTTGAAAGCTGAGAGAGGCCAAAAGCTAGGCCTCTTGCACCAAACAGCAAAGTTGTGAATGCAAGGAAAAGTTCTTGAAGGAAGTTAGAAGTGCTACTCCAGTGTATGAAGGCATAATAAGAAAGCAAAACAGCCTTATTGCTAATATGGAGAAAGCTTGAGTGGTCTGGATAGAAGATCAAACCAGCCACAGGATTCCCTTGAGTCAAAGCCTAATCCAGAGGAATGCATTAAGTCTCTTCAATTTTTTGAAGGCTGAGAGATGAGGAAGCTGCAGAAGAGAAGTTGGAAGTTAACAGAGGTTAATTTATGAGGTTTAAAGAATGAAGCCATCTCCATAACATAAAAGTACAGGTAAAGCAGCAAGTGCTGCTGATGTAGAAGCTGCAGTAGGTTATCCAGAAGATCTAGCTAAGATCATTGATGAAGGTGGCTACACTAAATAATAGATTTTTTTTTTTTTTTTTTTGAGACAGGATCTCGCGCTGTTGCCCAGGCTGGACTGCAGTGACACGATCTCGGTTCACTGCTACCTCTGCCTCCTGGGTTCCAGCGATTCTGCTTCAGCTTCCCAAGTAGGTGGGATTACAGGTGCATGCCTCCACGCCGGGCTAATTTTTTAATATTTTTTGGTAGAGGTGGCGTTTCACCATGTTGCCCAGGCTGGTCTCGAACTCCTGGGCTTGAGCAATCCTCCTGCCTCAGCCCCTCAAAGTGTTGGGATTACAGGCATGAGCCACCGCACCTGGCCAACAATTTTTAATGTGGATGAAACCACTTTATATTGCAAGAAGATGCCATCTAGGACTTCATAACTAGAAAGAAGAAGTCAGTGCCTGGTTTCAAAGGACAGGCTGACTCTTTTGTTAGGAGCTAATATAGCTTGTTACTTTAAGTTAAAGTCAGCATTCATTGACCATTCTGAAAATCCTAGGGCACTTAAAAATTATGCTAAATCCACTCTACCTGTGCTATGTCAGTGGAAAAACAAAGCTTGGGGATGACAGTGCATCTGTTTATGGCATAGAATATTTTAAGCACACTGCTGAGACCACTATTCAGAAAAACAGATTCCTTTCCAAAGATTACTGTTCGTTCACAAGGCACCTGGTCACCCAAGAGCTCTGATGAAGATGTACAAGGAAATGAATGTTTTTTCATCCCTGCTAACACGGCATCCATTCTGCAGCCTATGGAATCAAGGAGTAATTTTGTACCTACAGGTCTCCTTATTTAAGAAATACATTTCATAGGCTATAGCTGCCATAGAAGTGATTTCTCTGATGGATCTGGGGAAAGTAAATTGCAAACCTGCAAAGGATTCAGCATCCTAAATGCTATTCAGAACATTCGTGATTCATGGGAGGAGGTCAAAATATCACCATTAAAAAGAGTTTGGTAGAAGTTGATTCCAGCCCTCATGGATGACTTTGAGGGGTTCAAGACTTCAGGGGAGGAAGTAACTGTAGATGTGGTGGAAATAGCAAGAGAACTAGAAGTGGAGCCTGAAGAATTAACTGAATTGTTTCAATCTCATGATAAAACTTAAATAGATGAGGAGTTGCTTCTTATAGATGAGCAGAGTATTTTCTTGAGATGCATTCTATTCCTGGTGAAGATGCTGTGAACATTGCTGAAATTACAACAAAGGATTTTAAATGTTACATAAATTTAATTGATAAAACATTGGAAGGGTTTCCAATTTTGAAAAAAAGTTCCGTGGATAAAGTGCTGTCAAATAGCATCAGATGCTACAGAAAAATCTTTTATGAAAGGAAGCATCAATGGCTGCAGCAAATTTCATTGTTGTCTTATTTTAAGAAATTGCCACAGCCAACCCCCACTTTAAGCAACCATCACCCTGATCAGCCAGCAGTCATTAATATCTAGGCAAGATCCTCCACCTGTAAAAAGATGATGACTCACTGAAGGCTGAGATGATTGTTAGGATATTTTAACAATGAAGTATTTTTAAATTAAGGTATGTATTTTCTTAGGCATAATGCTATTGCACACTTAGTAAACTACAGTATAGTATAAACGCAACTTACATGCACTGGGAAACTGAAAAAATTATGTGACTTGCTTTATTGAGATACTCACTTTATTGTGGTGGCCTGAAACCAAACCCGCAGTACCTGTGAGCATGCCTATATTTGATACAATAGGAACTATATTGCAGGTAGTAAAAAATGATGAATAGTGTTAGTTCAAAGCGATAGATGATTTGTATGTCCAAATTAAAGAAAAGCATGTATGGGAAAAAGATTGTCATTTTTATGTAAATGATAAGTGCTTTCTGAATTGTATTTAAAGAAAAGAAGATTTTATAAGTCCAAAGAATCACTTAATACAATGAATAAAGGGTAATAATTTACCACTTTTGGATTACCTTTTATTTAAGACATAAATTTTTCAACTCATAAGCTATTTAAAATCTTTTCACTTAAGATACCTGTTGAAATTTTGTTTAGGTATCTGGCCAGGAACAGTCTTCACGGGGACAAAGAATTTTATCTATTCCAATTTGGCCCCCAAACCTAGGTATCTCACAGAACTGTGTGTATGAGGTACAGCAGGTACCAAAAGTAGAAAAGACAGGTAAGTGTTTGTAATACATTTTGGCAGTCTGCTGGGTAATCATGTTCCCTTTGAAGACATAAAACTAAGTTTTTAAAAAGAAAAAATCTCAGGGATGAATATTCATATATATAAATATGTAGTTATTCATTTTTTTTCTTAAGACCTCTAAATTTACCTTTTTAAAGTTGAACTTCCAGAATTATCTGTGCATGATTTACTTGCATGTTGCTTTGGAATTGTTTGCATTTTTCTATTTTTCCTAATTCTGGAGGCCATCGAAATATATAGATTCCAGAATGAAACATGTAACTAGGCATCTTTCTAACCTAGATAAGTCTTAAATATTGTTTCTAGAGTAAGATGACGATATTAAGGCAAACTAGAACAATAACATTAATATATTTTCCTCTATTCTTACAGACAGTGATCTGACACAAACACAGCTGAAGCAAACAGAGGTCCTAGTGACAGCTGAAAAGTGAGTTCTGGAAAGCAAAAGGAGACATTTGCTAACTTTAGTTGAATAAAAAACTCATTTCTCAAAAATCACTTGGATAAAAAAATGAAGGTGATAGTATTCCGTGCTGGTGAAGGGTGCTGGCCCTTAAGTCAGATAGGCCTGAGTTCCAGTCCTGACTCTGCTGTGTTTTAGCCGAATGATTTTGAGCAAGAAACTTAACATCTCTGAGGTTCAGTTTCTTTGTCTATAGTTTGGATTGTTGTGAGGATTAGATGAGACAAAGCATATAAAGCACAATGTCTGAAACATACCTAGGCACCTAGGTAGTGTTAGGAAGGGAAACAGCTTGTCTGTGGACCTGGACCAGCTCAAATACTCTTTGAAATTCACATACTTAAACAAAGGTCAAGATCACATAAAAATATCTTTCAGATCTCAAAAGGATCTTTAGTTGTCTTTGATTTACTAAATCTCAAAACCATCTATAAGAGAATTGATCCAAAAATGAATATGCCAGTTGAAAAGATGATCATTTTAATTTATCTCTTGAACTGTAGGAGAAGATTGTCAGAGGGGTGAAGATGCTGGAATTCTTCATTAAAGAAATAGGAATATTTGGGGCTATGGTTGAGAAATTGATACATGTTAATAAAACAGGACAGAGACTTAAATCTTGTCTCAGGGAGATTCTTGAAATATCTTGATTGTTAATTATATTGTGGCTGTTTTATAGTTTTTTGTTTTAACATTTAAATTTAGGGACCAATTCTCATTTATTTTATCTGCTTCTCAATCTTTATTTTGTATACCTTGTTTTGAGAAAATATTACTACATAAATAAGAACTAGTAAGAATGGAAGCAATTTTTAAAAAAATTTTTTAAATGAATATTTTAAAATTCATGATTAAACCTTTCAATATAGTAAAAACTTCTTTGAATAAGATTAATAAGGAGGCTAATCTAACAAGTACTTCGTTTTGAGTAACTCTTAAATCTTTTTGTAACAATATAGGATATAAAAAAGATATTGGCTGGGCGTGTTGGCTCACGCCTATAATCTCAGCACTTTGGGAGGCCAGGGCGGGAGGATTGCTTGAGCCCAGGAGTTTGAAACCAGCCTGGGCAACACAGTGAGACCCTGCCTCTATTAAAAAAAAAATTAAAACATTCTGGCCGGGCGTGGTGGCTCGTGCCTGTAATCTCGGCACTTTGGGAGGCTGAGGTGGGTGGATCACGAGGTCAGGAGTTCAAGAGCAGTCTGGCCAAGATGGTGAAACCCCATCTTTACTAAAAATACAAAAAATTAGCCGGGCATGGTGGCATGCACGTGTAATCCCAGGTAGGCTGAGGCAGAGTATTGCTTGAACCCTGGGGGGCAGAGGTTGCAGTGAGCCGAGATCGCACCACCGCATTCCAGCCTGGGTGACAAAGCAAGCCTCCGTCTCAATAATGATAATAATTTTAAAAAATAGATACCTTACTTGCCCTTGGTGTCTAAAAATTAAAAGAAAAAAAGAGGCCGGGCGCGGTGGCTCACGCCTGTAATCCCAGCACTTTAGGAGGCTGAGGCGGGCGGATCATGAGGTCAGGAGATTGAGACCATCCTGGCTAACACGGTGAAACCGCGTCTCTACTAAAGATACAAAAAAAAAAATTAGCTAGGTGTGGTGGTGGGCGCCTGTAGTCCCAGCTACTCGGGAGGCTGAGGCAGGAGAATGGTGTGAACCTGGGAGGTGGAGGTTGCAGTGAGCTGAGATCATGCCACTGCACTCCAGCCTGGGCGACAGAGCAAGACTCTGTCTCAAAAAAAAAAAAAAAAAAAGATACTTTTTTGTATCTTTATGTAAATACAGAGTGTTTATATGCATAGCTTATATCTGTAAACTGAAAAATTGATAGATAAGAGTTTGCAGAAGACCTATTTTTATTTATTATTTTTATTTGAGAGTTGATCTCACTGTCATCCAGGCTAGAGTGCAGTGGCATGATCTTGGCTCACTGCAGCCTCCACCTCCCAGGCTCAAGCCTTTCTCCTACCTTAGTCTGCCAAGTAGCTGAGACCACAGGCATGTGCCTCCACGCGTAGCTACTTTTCTAGATTTTTTTTTTTTTTTTGTAGAGATGAGGTCTCACTGTGTTGCCCAGGCTGGTCTCGAGCTCCTGAGCTCAAGCAATCTTCCCGCCTTGGCTTCCCAAAGTGCTGGGATTACAGGTGTGAGCCACCGCGTCCGGCCCTATTTTATGTTTAATATTATAAATCCTTAGACATAAAAAGTTGCTAATAAAACTTAGAGGGCATTTTTAAGGATTTACCTTTGTTCCTGACATATGAACACTTTAAAAGCAAGGGAAACATCTTCATCTATGTATTCTCAGCACCTGACATATTGCCTAGAACTTAGAAGATGTTTGGTAAATGTTTGTTGGATAAGTTTCTTTTTTAATTTTATTTTCCTTCAAGGCATAAAAGATCCTTAAGATTCATAAAGTATCACTAGAAAATAGTCTTTAAACCTTTTACTCATAACATCACATATATTTGTGCATGGGGCAAATATAATAAACCATTAGAGAAGCTGTTTTAAGATGCAGTACAAAATTATATGTGATAGCAAGAAAAATTAGAGAAGAATATGGCCTCTCTGTCATCAAAAGTCTAGAGGATTCCAAATAGTGTTCCTGAAGACCCCCTTGATTCTCTTTCTTAAAAACACAATAAAACTTGTTAGAATACATGTTCTTTAGTAAGTGGAGGCATTCACACGTTATAAATAATGAAAAAACACATTAGTATGTTAATTATTGAGCTTTTTTTAAAAACCACATTTATAATGGCTTTATTGATGGGTTTTAGATATCACTGCATAAGTAAATTAATACTAAATTATGATATGGTCTTTTTAAATAAAGCTTGTCCTAATGTTTGGTCTTAGTCTAGAAATTAAGTGAAAAAGAAATTCAGATAGGAGGAATTCTTGAAGTTACAAAAACTCGGATTCTAAACACTTCTTCTTTTCTATTTAGATTGTCTTCAAATTTACAGCACCATTTCAGTTTGTCATCTGTTTATTCACATTACTTTCCTGACACTGGAATTCCAGAAGTGACCACCTGTCATTCCCGAAGTGCCATAACTGTGGATTATATTTTCTACTCTGCAGAAAAGGAAGATGTTGCTGGGCACCCAGGTAAGGAATGCATGTAATCTTAAATTCTCCTAGAGAGCACAGTAGCTAAAACCTCAAGGTTAAAGTTAAGAAAGCTCTCTAAACATCCAGTTGAAGTTCTAGATCTAGAAGGTAAAAATATTTCGAAATAGACAGATTGGTAATATATTTGAATAAATCAGTTGATTACTTGCATATGAGGGAGGCAATAAAACACATCCAAGCAAATTATTACCCAAGAATTACATTAGCAGTCCTACCCTCCAGTTCCAGTCAGCCTCTGAGTTATAGGTCTTTCATATTGCCCTTTCTTTTTGCTTGCCATAAATTTACTGTTTTTCCTGTGACAGGAACTGAGTATGTTGTTAATGGTCATCATAGTTTTGTGCTTAAATTTTACCGAGGCGTCCTGCCTTCATTGGAGGACCATAGTTACACTGCCAGCAACACAGCTTATGCTGTCATGTTGACTCTGGAATATTGGATTTTTCTGAGGAGGAAAAGTATATATATATATATATATATATATATATATTTTTTTTTTTTTTTTTTGGATACAGAGTCTCGCTCTGTTACCCAGGCTAGAGTGCAGTGGCATGATTCTCGGCTTACTGCAACCTCTGTCTCCCGGGTTCAAGTGACCTTCCCACCTCAGCTTCCCGAGTAGCTAAGACTACAGGCATGAGCCACCATGCCCACCTAATTTTTGTATTTTTTGTAGAGACAGGGTTTCACCGTGTTGCCCAGGCTGGTCTCAAACTCCTGGGCTCAAGCCGTCCACCTCGGCCTCCCAGGGTGGCTTGGATTACAGGCATGAGCCACCACATTCGGTCAGAAAAGTCTATATAATTTTTTTGTTTGTTTGTTTTTGAGACGGAGTCTCGCTCGTCGCCCAGGCTGGAGTGCAGTGGCGCTATCTCAGCTCACTGCAAGCTCCGCCTCCCAGGTTCACACCATTCTCCTGCCTCAGCCTCCCGAGCCACTGGGACTACAGGCGCCCGCCACCATGCCCGGCTAATTTTTTGTATTTTTAGTAGAGACGGGATTTCACCGTGTTGGCCAGGATGGTCTCGATCTCCTGACCTCATGATCTGCCTGCCTCGGCCTCCCAAAGTGCTGGGATTACAGGCGTGAGCCACTGTGCCCGGCCGAAAATCAGGTTTTAAACATTAGCCAAAGGATTTAAAGTGGAGAAGAAAATGCAGTTTAAGATTACTGGAAGTACAAAAATACCTTTAAGAAAACTTTGGAATGTGAGCAGCTGTTTTATTCTTTTCTGATTTTTTTCATTTTTTTCTCTTCCATTTTTTTGGATGCTTCTTTTTCTTTACCCTTTTCCCCTCTGTTTGTTCCCCCCTCCTTTCTTCTGGGAATAACCTTATTAGTAACACTCACGAGATGACTTATTCCTGCCACTAGATCTACTCTACAAAAAATATGCCTGCTGCTTTGAATTTATAGTAAGGTTTTCGTAGTTGTCATGCTGACAGAAGTTCACTTGGTGGCAGGAGAGTGTTATGGATCAGCATTTCAAAAAGAGCATGTCATCTTCACTTCTGTGGGTGCTGACTATCTGGGACTAAATTATACTAATTTATTCTCCATTCACCTTATAAACTGCTACAGGGCTGTGGCCCGGTGTCTCTGGCTTTATGCAACTACAGAATGGTTGCTGGATGAGTTTCTTATGTAGTTGTCAACCACAAATTACCCTTAACATTCTTAAGTATTTCATTTATATTTTCTTCTAAAGATTGTTTACAGAGCTGGAAATAGAAAAAATATCTCAAACTGCTGTGTGTTTGATAATTATAATTAGGTTATAATTCAATAAAGCTTAGATATTCTAAAAACTGTGTCATAGTTTTTAGTCTTCTGGAGGGGCCTCAAGTTCTATATTTGTTTGGAGAAAAGACTTGTATGATTAATTTACAATAACCCGTTGACAATTTTACTAAATATGTGTGTGCTTCTTTAATGTAGGAGCTGAAGTTGCTTTGGTTGGTGGCTTGAAACTTCTAGCTAGACTGTCACTTCTTACAGAACAAGACTTATGGACTGTTAATGGACTTCCAAACGAAAATAACTCTTCAGATCATCTGCCTTTATTGGCAAAGTTCAGACTTGAGCTCTGACTCTCTTTGATCACATACTAATTTTCTTTCCAATTTGTATTGTTTTTCAAAGAATGTAAAGTTCTTAAGTGTATGCATGTTGTTTATTTTTGCACTGTGGAGATTCTGAAGCGGTTATGTTAGATGCTTTGAAACTCCATATCAGAAGAAATAACTTTATAACAATTTTTTTTAATAATGAAAAATATTTTCGTGACAAGTGAGCTCTAAATTCTCTTTATTGTAAAAGAGATGTAAAGGTTTTATATTCTAAATCCTAGTAAAATTGACAGTGATTTTTAAATATAATGCATCTTCCTTTGTCTGCTTAGTAAAAAATTTCATTTCATAATTTTGGCAAGCTCTGTAGTGGATCCAAAGTATCTTTGAGTTCTTGCAAACTACAAGTTGTTTCCTTTCCAGAAGGCTTGATTTCATTAGGAGACCCCTCTATTGAGTTCTAAATAGTTTATCTTAGAAAGCCTTGGGTCATTCACAGGTATCCAACCAGCCATTGTTTAGTTTGTTTTTGAAGGGGTTTGATAATGCTTTTTAAGTTGTACAGAATGCTTAATCCATCTTATTACTGTCCTGAGCCATGTAATATGCCTGCATCGTGTTGGGGAAATGTTTGGGAAATATAAGCCAGCATAACGTGTAAAGCTCACTCTTTCACCCTGGAACAGACAAGAGGTGGGCTTAATAGAGGCAGAGACTGGGGATATACCTTTGTTTCCCTAGCATTTTTATTTATTTATTTTTATTTTATTTTATTTTTTGAGATGGAGTTTCACTCTTGTTGCCCAGGCTGGGGGTGCAATGGCGCAATCTTTGCTCACTGCAACCCCTGCCTCCCGGGCTCAAGCGATTCTCCTGCCTCAGCCTCTCGAGTAGCTGGGATTACAGGCATGCGTCACCACTCCCAGCTAATTTTGTATTTTCAGTAGAGACAGGGTTTCCCCATGTTGGTTAGGCTGGTCTCGAACTCCCAACCTCAGGTGATCCGCCCACCTCAGCTCTCAAAGTGCTGGGATTACAGGCGGGAGCCACTGCACATGGCAGCATTTTTTAAAAATTCAGTTTTAAGATCTCTGGTTTAGGGGAGAGATTTTATTTTACTGAACCAGTTCTATAGAAATTTATTTTATTAGGAAATTTGTCTTTGGAACAAAGTGGCAGCTATAAAATTATTTTTGTTAAGCCTCAGAAATATGAGGAAGCCTGTAAAACTCTAGTGGGGAGATATTAACTTGGAGACCTAATGCTCTGTAAATAGTCATTTAAACTGTTGGTTTTAGTGGTTTTGTTTCTAAAATGTTTTCTTTTACCGTGATGCACCAGTATGAGATGGTGCTGACACTTTCTATGAAGTGGTTATGAGCAGGTTTAATAAATCCTCTATACAAGTGTTTGAATCAATTTTAAAACATAAAAAGTGGAAATTTCCTTTTTTGTAGACAGTAGGAACAAGGAATTATATGCATTTTTACTAAGTAGTAATTTTACACTGAATTGTAAATGTTTTTACAGTGAGTTTTATTAATAGAATGCTTCACCTTAAATTGGAAAACAATAATAGTCTTGGACTAAGTCTTTGTACTAAAGCATTTGCTATAATTATTTTTAAAAAAACAAACAGATGAAAACCTCAGAGAAGGCATGTGGATTATAAGATTTGTCTAGTAAAAATTGTAATTGAATATGTTTAAATATTTAATTTCTCATTTTGGGGGGTTTTTATTTTTTTATTTTTTAGATGGTGTCTCACGCTATCGCCCAGGCTGGAGTGCAGTGGCGCGAACTCGGCTCACTGCAACCTCCGCCTCCTGGGTTCAAGCAATTCTCCTTCCTCAGCCTCCCAAGTAGCTGGGATTACAGGCATGCACCACCATGCCCAGCTAATTTTTGTATTTTTAGTAGAGATGGAATTTTGCCATGTTGGCCAGGCTGGTCTTGAACTCCTGACCTCAGGGGTGATCCACCCGCCTCGGGCTCCCAAAGTGCTGTGATTACAGGCATGAGCCACCATGCCTGGCCTTTGGGGGGATTTTAATTACAGTATTAATTATAGTTCTAGGATTTCCCACATTTTATAGTAGTAGTTTGCAGGATATTATGTGCCCTAATTAGCAGATATAGACATTATCAAATTATAATGATAGTATAATTATCCCTTTTTAATATTGGGGAAAGAAAAATGAAAATTCATTAGTTAATTACTGCTTTGTGTTGTGTGAATTTATTAACAAATAACATTATTACATATAGGTCATTGTTAACAAACAAACATCCCTGAAAACCTCTGTGAAAATTTAATTTTTTATATCCTGATTAATATATTGTGACTTTAGGCCCATTTTTCATGTGCTTCACTTTGATAGAGTTAATCCATAAAATTGCTCTTTACTTTAGCTTATCAAATGAAGTATTATTTTGTGGACTGGAGGCCAAAAAGTCAATGTGAGCTTCTCACAGGTTTTTAAAGCTCCACTAAAAATAATTATCCACTTGTCTTTACTTTTGTTGACCAGAATAGTTGGTAACTCTGCCAGAGCCTGTACTTACCTGCCAAAAACAATTAAATCTGGTTAATGCCTGAAACCAAATCTCTCAGTCTCAAGTGTTATACTATCCAAGTTTTAAATGGAAAGGTAAACTGTGGAGTAATGAAATTTTGGTTTTACTGTACCTTTTGCTATCAAGATAATATTCATGTTTGAAATCTTGTCTTTATTTGGAATTTAGTTACTGTCTGCTTTTAACCTTTGCTTTCCTAAAGAAAGTTTGAGATCCAGAGAGTTCAAGGGATTGGGGAAAGAGAGGCGTCAAGTCATTTGCACTTTGTACCTGTAAGTTAGGTAATAAACTATTATACTCGTACTTCTGTGCCTGAAGGTTTTGTGGTAGGTATACTGAGATGTATAAGCTGTACTGTTGCCTTTACTAAACTATTTCATTGCCCTTTGCAGCCATTTTTACTTAGGGGTGATGCTAAAAGATGAGTGAATTGAGATATGTCAAAATAGAGTGATAGAGTGTTTTTAATATAGAGTCTGCAGATTGTGAAAGAAGGGTGAAAGAACGATAAATAGGTTCAGTAGAATAAATATATAATAAGAGGACCAAAAAAAAAAATCACACCATCTTACTTTTTTTTTTTTTGAGACTGAGTCTTGCACTGTTGCCCAGGCTGGAGTACATTGGCGGGATCTCAGCTCACTGCAACCTCCGCCTCCCAAGTTCAAGCGATTCTTCTGCTTCAGCCTCCCAAATACCTGGGATTACAGGCGCCCGCCACCATGCCCGGCTAATTTTTTGTATTTTTAGTAGAGACAGGGTTTCACCATGTTGGTCAGGCTGGTCTCGAACTCCTGACCTCAGGTGATCCACCCGCCTTGGCCTCCCATAGTGCCGGGATTACAGGCTTGAGCCACTGAGCCCGGCCACATCTTACATATTTAGAAGAAAAACAATCCTTAAGTTTCCAGGATGGTTTTATTAAAGTCCCATGCTGTGTTAGAAACATACAAGTGATGAGAAAAACATTAACTTGAAACATGCACTTACTGGCATTCTCTAAAATACCATTATACAAGTTTTCATTTAATTAGAAAAATACCCACTAAAACAATCACAGTTCTTCTTAAAGATTTAAAAAAAATGTATTGGCCAGAACAAAGTCCAAGAGAATAAACAAAGTTCTGAATTGTATGTCAAAAAAACTGTACAAGGTTGTACATAAAACTATAGCTTACAAAAGACTCAGGTATAGTAAGAATTCTGAATTAAGATTTCCAAAGTTCTATTTACCAATATCTATTAATAAAATCCTTATGAAATAATTGACTTAGAAAAAGTGAAATGCTCATGATTTCAGAGTGTATAGAAAATACTAAATATCTCCGAAATAAAGTGTACTCAAAACAGCACAACATACAGTCTAAAATCAAGATTTCTGTCATTCATTTAAACTTTGCATATATTGCCATGATGGCTTAAACATAAAATTTCTCTTGCACTAACAACTTTTTAAAACCGATTTCAAATCACTTCATAGTTTTATTTTTTATATTTTGAATTCTAGCCAGTCTTAAAATCAGCTTTGGGAGGGGGGTGCATATAACATGTTTTTTGTTTTGTTTTGTTTTTTGTTTTTTAAATTATTGCACTAGAATTTAGGGGTTTGGTGCCTCTCCCGTATTTTTTTTAGAAATTAGCATATTCCATAGGCAATAAAAGTAGGATGACAACTAAGAACATTTTAAATGTACTTTCAAGTTTGTGTGACTAAACCTTGCTTTGGGAAAATTAGTCTAAAAATCAAGGAGCGGGTGTGGGAGAAATTAGCTTACTAATTGAACCATCAAGCCAGTTGGCAGTTCTAAGGCTTCTTTATCAGCATATTACAGAGTTTGTATTCCTGTTCTTTTCCTCCTTGTTGTGGGAAACAAGCTATGCAACCATTTGACATTCTGTATTTTAGATGTAACAGTACTTAATACTTGGCAAAAATAAATTCCAACTCTTAGAATGGTTGCAGTGTTATAAGAGGTCTACTTATTAGATGTAAGCAAGTTTCAGATTGACAAACAGAAGGTATATGGCTAAGTCAGTATTGTTTTAGAATGAAAATGAAATGATTCACTATTTCAAACATCTGAATACATGTGGCCAAGAGGCTGCGAATGGGTTTGCTGTGTGTAGATAAACAGAGCTAACTCATTTTAAACTCTGATAATACTGTTCTTAAAGAGATTAAACTGATAATTTTTAACCCTGTGCTACATTTTAATCTAATGGAGATGTATACTTGGTCTTGTTCATCTAAAGGACATTCGACTTCTTTAAGAAAACAGTACTTTTCATTAATAATACTGATTTTCAGGGTGAAGTAAGCTCTTGTGCACCCTTTTGCTTTGAAGTCCTTTTGCTTTCCCTGTCACCCCCAGAAATCTTGTAAAGAATTGGTAAAGAATCTCAATGAGCTTTTTTTTTTTTTAACTTCCTTCCTATAAACACCTTCAGTCAAAGAAAGCCAGAGGAGATGCACTGAGACTGAAATAACATCTGTTGACTACCAGACTTCACTGAAATCGGCCGTCTGCTCTCCTGAGTTGGCATTGTTGCTAAGATAAAGCAAATGAAATTGAAGCTGTACTCTTGATATTTACACCATACAAGACTAGGCTGTTAGGGTTGTCCTGTGTGGTCTGCAGCCAGAGGTTACACTGTAACTACCATATGCAGGCCAGACATTCATTCTGTGCTTAGGGACTGAATTACACTATAAGGTGTAACACTGGACCGAAGACTTTTCCATTAAAAAAAAAGTGCTGCTTTTCTAATTCTTTATATTTTCCAATACTCATTCCTAAAATGTCATGAAATGGTACCTAAAAGCAAAGTACTGGAAGATAATCACATCATGTCACATTTGGTCTTAATATAAGACATCAGAACACATCTTTAACAGTGAGTCCTCCCTTAGTTTGATTCTTGGCATCCTTCAGAAGAATCAAAGCCTGCCTCAGTTTAAAAATCAGATGAAATGTGAACAGAAAGGTTTTTTGGTTCTGAAGACCTGCTGATCACTCCTGGTCTCTGCCTGAGTGTGTTAATGTCAGAGGTAAATCCAGTACCGCTAAATTTGTATAATAGTACGTGACCTCTTGTGCTTTTTGTTAGAGTCTGCAAAGTTTAAATGTTAGTGACAGAACATAGACTAGCTTCTCAATGTGATATTTTTGTTTCATTTTGAAAAAACAAAAACATCAGTGAATGCTTTAAGAAAGATTAAGAAGGAAGTAACTCCAAGATCCTGAAAATGGTTCTTGTATTGCCAGAAGAATTTCAGTGCTTTTTAGTAAAACACTTGCATATAGTACCTTAAATCTCCTCACGTGTGTGCACCAGGAAAAAACTCCAAACTTGTGGAGATCCCCATGGGAAATACTGGGGAAAGAATACAAATAGAATATAAAAAAACAAAACGCCATTAAGTTTGCATATCTGATGTCAAAATGCTGAGGTAATAACTGCTTAAAAAAAACCCACCCATTTTTGCTTTCTGTTATTGCTGAAAAAGACAGTAATACTGTTAGAGTTACCTTACTATACCAAAAGTTCAAGAGATTATTTCATGAACATTTACTATTGGTGAGGCATAATGTTCAAAGCAAGTAAAAGAAAGTAGGTAAATGGAAAAATATAAAACTTCAGTTACGGTTATCCTTAAGATCTTGAGTGAGGGACATAGTCCAACCCCAGTGGGGCTTATTACTTCAGCCTTTTCATGGTGCCTTTTAGTGAATTTTTTAAAGCTAATGGTTACCACCCACTCAGATTCTATTTCCAGGTGAATCCTTAAAAATAAAATTCACAAGTTCTTAATAAATAGTTGCAGTTCCTCCTGAAGATGCTGGGTAAAGTGCAGAGAGAAGCACCACAGAAACCCTCTTGCTGGCCGGTATGGCTTGGCTAAATTCGGATTTGATAGCCCACTTCATTCAGAGTGCTCAGATCAGCCACCTTCTTTTCAGGCAGTGCAGGCCTAAGGGTAAAAGACAGAAATATGGTGGAGGAGAGGGGATGGGGCAAAGAAAGACAACAGCATTTTCAAGGTCCTCTACTCGGTTTTCCTAATCCTTCTGATATTTGTCTCATCCTCCCATTCCCCCACCCTGCCAGCCTTAGCTCACAACTCTACTTCTTGTTCTTAAGTCCACCTTTAAAGGTTTTAAGGAACATTTTAACAGACTTTCAATGTAGAGTTCAGAAAAGTTTTCAGGGTGTGGAATGAGCTTCTGCAGCTTTAAGCCTGACTTTGGTCACATTATAGCTTTTGAAACCCAGTACTCTTGAACCTTGCAAGGGTCTAAAAGTCACATACACTACAGTAGAGCCAAGAATCTGAGTCAAATTCTCCTTGAAACATTGGCTTCCTAGTGTTCGTGTCCTGGAGGAAGCCCAGGAATCAAAGGTGACTCACGTTCCCAGGGAGCGGTTAATGTTCAGGCTTGAATGTATAAAATCAAGGTGAATCTTAGGATTCATCTGAAAAAGCATGTCAGTGTGGAAAATCACTCAGTGGCAAAACATCTCTTCCCTAGAAACGTGCTAAAGTCACTTCCAACATAAAACTACAACTAAGCAATTATGCAAAGTCATGTGAGAAAGTACTTCAAGCTGGGAAATACAACATTCACATCAATAGCACATCATCTGTCTTCATTAAAGATGCGTCCTAAATGACTTCCAATATACGATTATGCCTAAACAATCTCACAATGTATCTTACAACTTTTCCATTTCTTAATGAGCCTCTTCTCACCTTGGATAAGAGAGAACTGAGATCATGAATCAAGTTTAGGATATTCAGTATGGCTAGTGAGTTCTAATTCAAAAGTTTCACATCCATTTTTGCAAGAAAAAGACATGTTTAGGTTACACATAAACCTTGTTTTTGTTTTGTTTTTGTTTTTGTTTTTGAGACGGAGTTTCGCCCTTGTTGCCCAGGCTAGAGTGCCGTGGCACAATCTTGGCTCACTGCAACCTCTGCCTCCCCAGTTCAAGTGATTCTCCTGCCTCACCCTCCTGAGTAGCTGGGATTACAGGCATGTGCCACCACACCTGGCCAATTTTGTATTTTTGTAGACATGGGGTTTCACCATGTTGGTCAGGCTGGTCTCGAACTCCTGACCTCAGGTGATCTGCCTGCCTCGGTCTCCCAAAGTGCTGGGATTACAGGTGTGAGCCACCGCACCCAGCCGAACCTTGTTCTTAAGTATTAAAAAAAAAAAAAAAGACCAAAAAGAAAATATAATTGTTAGAAGGTTTCTTATTTTATGCCCTTGAAAGATTTCCTAACAGCTAATGGTTTTTCCCTGGCATAAAAGTGGTCCAACTAATTCAATGTTGATAGAACTAGAAATCAACAGCTAGCTTCTAGCTAAAGCACAGCTCAGTGAATGGCATTAATCTCTGCCAGCAATTCCACTACCCCTTTTCTCTCTCTCTCTCTCTCTCTCTCTGAAATGGGAAGGAATAGTCATCAACAGTCTGATCATTCCCTTTGAAACCTGACTGCTCAAGGTGGTCAAGAAACTATCCCTGACTAGGCCCTACTCAAATAACTTGTAACCTTACTTATCTGTTGCATGGGCCTTATTTCTTAGCTTGACCATGTGCCCTCCTTTATCGGTCAGGAATTATGCCTCTTATTTCTTTGTGTCTCTCCCCATAGCGACTGGGTCATACACATGATGCTAATTAACACAGCTGACTGCCAGTAGAAATCCCTACACTTCAGTGTGTAGACTCTGCTCATTGTATCAGAGCTCAAGGCTTCCATCCTTCAGGGGATGGTGTCCTCCAGCCTCTGCATGCCCTGGAGATTAGCTATTCCCTTAAACAAAGCCACTGCTACAGGCCTGGAGGAGTGGCCCCCAGATGACACTATGAGGACCATTCTTGGATTGACAGGAAAAGGAACACATGTTTGCTTGGGGATTCAAATTTATATTCCTACCCTAGCCCTCAGCCCACTAATGTGGACAGAACTAGGGTTCTTACACACAAGTCAGGTTTAAAGAGTCCACATGCATCTGGTTCTCTCATAAAGCCTGAAGTGAGCCTCCATTTTGTCTCCTTGCCTGAGGTGGTGTCATCTTTACAAATAGCTAATTTGAGACTTTCTCAAGTAGACTCCCCATACATTAGCATCAGCCTGATGCAAATGTGGTTAGAAAAGTAAATCACTGCTCCACAGTGTGCCCCACTTGTAGAAAATTCAGCAATCAAAAATTCAATTTGCCTGCAGGATAAGGCAAAAGGATAAACCTGCAGTACCTATGCATTCCTTGCTTTAGAAAAAGATTAAATGCAGGTCATTTCCTAGAGCTAGTAAAATATTATTTCCATACTACCTTTCCTGGTTTTGTAATTAGGTAAGCATATATTTTTTATCCAAATATAAACTACATTTGTATTAGATTTTCATAACTGATTTATCTAACGATCTGTGTGCAGCAGCGTCTATTAGTTGCCCCTCAACATCCATTCTTCCCTTCTTTAGTATAAAACACCCGTCTCCCATCCCTGATTTTTAGTTAGGTACATAGCTGCCTTGAATACAAAGTACATCTTCCAGCCTCCCTGTACCCACGCATGGCCTCAGACTAAGTTGTAGCCAGTGAGATTTACATGGAAGTGTGGTGTGGCAGTTAGTAGGACACGTCTTCAAAAGACAACTGGTATGTGCCCTTCATCTTTTTCTTTCCTTTGTTCTTCCTGCTGATGGGAACATGGAAGCGACGGCTGGAGTGGGGACCTCAAGATGGTCTCTAGGGCTGGGCACAGTGGCTTAGGCCTGTAATCCAAGCACTTTGGGAGGCTGAGGTGGGTGGATCATTTGAGATCAGGAGTTTGAGACCAGCCTGACCAACATGGTGAAACCCTGTCTCTACTAAAAACACAAAAAACAGCCGGGTATGATGGCGCATTCCTGTAGTCCCAGCTACTTGGGAGGCTGAGGCAGAATCACTGGAACCTGGGAAGCGGAGGTTGCAGTGAGCCAAGATCGTGCCACTGCACTCCAGCCTGGGCAACAGAGTGAGATTCTGTCTCAGAAAAAAAAAAAAAAAAGATGGTCTCTAAAGATGGCAGCGCAGCAGGAAGCCCATTTCCACCTCTGTTGAGCTGCTTTTACATAAAAGTGAATCATGGCTGGGTGCGCTGGGTCATGCTTATAGTCCCAGCACTTTGGGAGGCTGAGAAGAGAGGATCACTTGAACCCAGGAGTTTCAGACCAGCCTGGGCACCACGGTGAAACCCCATCTCTACAAAAAAAAAAAAAAAAAAAAAAAGCAAAAAAAATTAGCCAGACATGGTGACATGCGCCTGTAGTCCCAGCTACTTGGAAGGCTGAGATGGGAGGATCGCTTGAACCTAGGAGGTGGAGGTTGCGGTGAGCTGAGATTGCACAACTGCATTCCAGCCTGGGCAACAAAGCAAGACCCTATCTCAAAAAAGAAAAAAAAAGTGAATTATGTTTAAGCTACAGCTTACACCTAACCTTAGCCAAACCTGATCCACTAACAGTGGGTGCTAAGTCAACCTGAGGAAGGTTACTGTGTGGAGTATGGAGAACATGCTCCTAGCAAGTTCTAACTCGGGAGGAATGGCCATAGTCCAAATGAAGTCAGGAGTCATACTCACTTCTAGGAGTCAGTCTTCTTCCCTGTAACCCTGCAAACTATGTAGGACCTAAGCCATGGTAGCTCTTTAGATCTCCTGTTGTCTCTGAAAATTAAGCAGTGCATGTGCTTAACAAGAGACTGTCTTGTTCCATGGTCCTTGTAGGACCTACCAGTTAGCTCATCCGAGTTTCTGAAGCTTTCTTACATATGTTGCCTTCCTGGCCTGGCATCTTCCTCAACACCAAGTCACACCTCTCCTCCTTCTGAAACTCTAAATATGCTGCCCTTCATATAAGAAAATAAGACACTAGCTTCACAGTATTTTCAAGTTGTTGGACTAGATCTGCACTGACCTGTTATCTCTCCCTCAGTCCTGTGCCCGACAGTCTCTCCTAGAAAGTCAGTGGCCAGAACAGCCTACAGGGTAGGCTCAGGGAGAAAACAAAGCCCACCCGCTCATCCCTGTCATGGAGGCTCACTGGGATCACTGCAGCTAACTAGCCACAGGCCTGCCACCTCCTCGAGAAGCCACTTTTTGGCCACTCACCTTAATTCCTCACTTTGGAGCCCCTCAGCCCATAAATTTTTTGTAGTTTGTGTGTTTCTTAAACTTCACTCTTTACCATTACCTGTGTTCTGCTATTGGCACATTTGAAAATAGATGAAATTTAATTTGGGAACCTTTGAACTCCTTTTCTTAGTCTTTTCCCTCGCACTTGCACCAGTTTTCCCATGCCTTCCAGGTACCAGGAAATCACCATTATAAATAGCTTTTATTTATTAGACACTTAACGATGTGCCAGGCATCATTCTAAGAGGTTTCCGTGGATTAATTAATCCTCACCATAACCCACGGGGTTGATACTGGTACTGTCCATTTTATAGAGGAGATAATGGAGGTACTGAAAGGTAGGGAATTTGCTCAAAGCAAAGTCATGCAGTTAGCAAGTGTTGGAGCCAGAGTTGGTCCCCAGAATCTAGAGCCCACACCCTGAACCACAATGCAAACTTCACCCTTCCTCTGCCACCTCAAAGCATCTTTCCAAGCATCTGAGAAGGACACCATGGCCACTCCTGCCTCTGCACCTTGGCTTATGCTGTCTCCTGTCTAGAATGCTCTCCCCAACATCTCCACATCCTTAGAAGGCAATCCCAAATGTCACTAACCTCAGGAAGTATTTTCTGACTCCCTACCATCACAATCCACTACTTGCTCTGTATGCTCTGGCATTTTCTTTGGTACATTTGCTATGGCTTAAATGTGTCCCCAAAAGTTCATGGGTTTGGAAACTCGATCCTCGGTGCAGTGGGGTTGGGAGGCAGGGCTTAGTGGGAGGTGTGTGGATCCGGGGGCATCACCCTCATGAATAGATTAGTATTTTCTCAAAAGTGGGTTCTTATAAAAGGATGACTTTGGCCCCTTTGCACACTTGTGCTTGCTCTCTTTCTTTCCTCTCTCCCTCTCTTTGCCCTCTGTCATGGGACAGTGCAACAAGAAGGCTCTCACCAGATGTCAGCCACTTGATCTTGGGTTTCTCAGCATCCAGAACCATGGGCCAATACATTTCCTGTTCATTATAAAGGACTCAGTCTCAGGTATTCTGTTACAGCGACACAAAATGGACTAAGACAACATCTGTTCCAGAATCCTGCCAATTCATAATCATTACACCTGCCTCAGAGACTGTGAACAATTTGAAAGGAGGGACCAGGGAAATTCATCTATGAATCCCACTGTGGAATACGTACTTATCAATCAAATTCTCACTAACATGTAAATGGATGATAGTGAATCATCTGTTACCTTTATCATGGGATATTTTATTTTAGAGACAAAGTCCTAAGCCAGGAATTCAAGTTACCATGACAACATTTTCAGAATTAACAAGCAGGAAGAACATTTATTTTCCGTATTGGAGTGGGTTTGCTTTACCCCTGAAAGCCATGTGGGGAACCTGCCTACTCATTAAGCTGAATGCATCAACAGCTTGAGTGCTTCCAAAGGAAAGGGACTAGGTCATCTTCTTCTTCTGTATCCCCACCCCTGCCACCTTCCACTAAGTACCCAGAACCCAGGAGAAGAAAAGGGCTAATACTGACAGAAAATGAGCTAAACTGAGATTCCTGGTGAACTGCCCAGAAGATGAAATCCTTTTCTTTTACAGCAACCGTGGCTGCAATCTCCTTGGCTGGCATAGGGCAGAAGTAGGTTATCACAGCATGCCACCTGCCTGTGGGGCCCAGCCAGAAATGTCATTCAGTCCTTGCCAGCTCATCTCAGGGCCAGAGCTGGGTGAGCTATTGTGTATAGAGAGGACTCTTCCAAGTGCTCCCCCAGCTCTAATTAGAATATTGCAAGGGGGTTTATTTTTAAGAAACACGAGCACTAGGATGATGATTCAGCCGGGTCTGCACTTGCCCAGAACCTCTCATCGGATCCAGGGTTATTATTTTAGACTAATATATTTCTCCAACCCCACCTCCCTGCCATCCTCCTCCAAACAAGGCAAAGAAATGAAAGAATTTTCTTTTTTCAAGGTTCTCCGGCAACATTTTGTTTTAGGGGAAAAAGAGTAGAAAACTTTACTTTGACTCACTTTGCAGGAGAAAGGATATCCACATGCACAGACAGTCCCAGCCTCACCTGTTGTGACGTAAATGGACTCAGAGTGAACTAGGGTGAAAGCTTGATGGCCTGGCCCCAAGGCTACACTTAACCCCAATGACAGGTCTGCATTCCCGGAGCCAGCTGGACGGAGGGTGCTCAAAGCAGGAGGTAGGCTAGGGAGAACAGGGTGGTGGTTCCACAGAGAAGTTATTCTGTCAAAAATCCTACTACTCTCTGCCACTGCTATCTCAACTTTGACAGCTGCACACCAAGTCCTTCACACTCTGAGGCAGCCTCAGTGCAGAGGAGGAGCTCGGCCTGACCAGATGGTGCCATCTGTGCAGCCACAAGAAGCCTCAGAACCAGAAAGTGATGGAGTGGAGACATGACCACATCCCAAGGCTGAACATGCATAGGGGTGTATCTGGGAGAGATGAGGTTTAAGAAAAGAAACAGGACGAGGAGAGGAAGTTCACAGGGTTCCCTCAACCACCCAGTCTCTCTTCCGCACCTCTGACTGAGGGCCATGTCTGGGTACGTGTGCCGGCAGGTGCTCACCCTCACACAGAAACACAAAGGCCAGACTGGCGGTACAGCCTGCAGGCTCGGGAGTCCAGGAAGGGAAGTGTGGGAAAAGTGCCACTGTAAACGTTAGACTCTTAATCCCGGATGTTAAGAATGTGGAAGAGATTAAACCAGGGGTGCTCTTGGCCCAGCATTTACAAGTTTAAGCAAAGACCCCAGGGCCACCCTTCTTGTGGAGTCTGGCCAGAATCAGGTCAGACCAGGCCCCGATTTAGGATTCACGGCCGGTCTGGGTAGGCCGCAGAGGCAGAGCATGGCCTCAGCTGGACGGACACAGGGAAAGGGAAGCTTCATTCACACCTGTCACCTTCATTCCAGGCCAGTCCGCTCCTCCCTCACATTCCTTGCTTCCCCTGATGGAAAGCACCGGTGCTGGCAGCTGCCAGGGCAGACAGCTGATGTTGCTATGTAAACAGAGGCCTCAGCCAAGACGGATTCGGCCCAGAAGAGATTTTTCAGCCGGTGCCCATCCCTTTGAGCCCTCCCCAGGCAGGAGACTCTGGCCATAGGCCAACTGTTGGAGATTCCAGGGCACAGTTTCCAGGCTCTGATGTCACTTCTCCTTTCCGGGACAAGAACCCCTCAGCTCTAGGAAACCTCACCCTGTCTGCCCCTGTCTGACCCTATGTGACCCTGGGGAGCTCACAGAGGCTCCTGGCTCACTCTGCCTGAGGTGGTCTTTTCTGATGAGGCCCATCATTCCATCTTGGTTTCTCCAAGCATCCCTGGAGACTCTGGGCCATATGAATTTCCCTGGGGGAACTGACCAGGCAGTCACTGGAGTAGAAACTGCCCCTTCACCATCTTGGCGGTTTAGCTTTTCCCTTCGTAGCCTTCCTAGTGTTCTTTTTTGTTTGTTTGCTTCCCTCTACTTTCCACCCTAAGGAAATCTCCTTTTCTCACTGGGGATATTTCTCATTTGGGATCTAAGGAGAATTACTTCTTGGGCACCAGTCAATGTGATTAGACCATGGAATCAAATTTATTTTCAATGACTTCATTAAACAACTTCTGCCCTTACTCAACCAGATGTCTGGACATACGTAATCCTTCCTGACAGAATGCAGCAGGAATTCCATTGTCCAGCTCAAGGCCCTGCAGTGAAAGGAGATGGGCTTTCAGGGCTTACTAACCTCTGGGACCCCCAGGGTGTCCAGCAGGGCAGACAGAGCCCGCTGGAGCCATGAACTGCCACAGAGATCAGTGATGAAGAAGGGAAATCAAAGAGGAAGAAAAGGGGAGGCAAAGAAAGGTGACCAGCAAAGAAAACAGGAGGAGAGACAGCAGGAAAAAAGCAGCCACACAGGGGAGAGAAGATGAAGAGGTTCTCATGGGTCCTCAGGAACACTGGCCTCCATTGAGAAGAATGTTTCACGTGGTCACTCTGGCTGCAAAACCAGAAAATCACTATCTGCTCACTCCAATTCACCCAGGGCCAGCTCATAGGCAGCAAGCCAAGAGTCATGAACTGTCAGAAATGGAAAGGACCTCGGAGAGCGCTGAAGCTTCCCAGTGAGGGCGCTGTTGGCATTTGAGGTGGAACGGTTCTTTATTGGGCAGGGTGGTCCTGGGCTTTGCGGGGCATTTACCATCTCAGGCCCCCGGCCCTAGCAAGGAGCCTCCTCACTTACCAAGATGTGAGAAGCAAACGCTTCCACCTCCCACCACACTTCTAACCCTCCTCTCCCAGAGCTGACCCAGTTGAGAACCCCTGGGAACACCCCTTAGTGAAGAGCTGCAAGGGTTCTGAGGCCCGGGGCTGGGAAGGAGTTGGTTTAAGTTCACAGATGGCCTTTGAAACATGAATCTCAACCTCCCTCTCCCTTTCTCTTTACGAACCACAGGAAAAAACTTGACAATTCAGTGTAGTAGGTGCTTTACACACTCCCAGAGGAGCAGTGTGAGAAAGGACCCGTGGGTGGAAGGGTGGGGGAGTCCTGGTTTCCCTCTTGAAACTTGGTCTCAGCGGATGCTACGCAGTCATCTTCACCTGCCCTCCCCCTCGGCTGATTCTTGTCAACCCAGTGACACTGATCCTCCTCTCGAAAGGGATTATTTAGACAAGTGCAAAAATGGAGAGGAATTCAAGGCTGGAAGTCGCTCCAGCTGGAGGGAGGAGGTGGATGGGGATATAATGCCACTAAAATTATCCATGGCAGACAGGGACTGGGACCCCACAGCTGATGGGCCTCTCGCCTGTTATGGTAATTTTCCACCCTTTGGGCCCCTCCCAAGCTTCCTCATGACACCCAACACATTTAGAAATGACGCGATGGCCTTATGTAATGCTGACAGAATAGCACAGGGACAGAGTCACCAAACCCTAGTCCTGGCCATCTTACAGTAAGATTCCCGGAGTTTGTGGAGTGATTGGGTCAAGACCATATTTGTCACTTTCTCATTTCCTCGCCAAAAGCAAGATTACCTAGAGAAAAGGCTGCTTGGCGAAGGCCATGGGTGGAAGCTGAGAAGCTGCTTCTCTCCAAACATACCTCCAGGAACACAGCTGTCCTGAGTTCTAGTGTGGCAGAATGGCGGGAGCTGGAATCTAGAGAGGGAAGCTGGGGCTTGGCGCTCCAGTGCTTGTGGCCTCTCACAGCTCTTCTTCTTATTCTCATGTCCTGCACCTCTCTTCCCTCTCCTCCTACACAGTAGACCCTGCAATCTCTTCCCCAGCCCTGCAACTCAGAAGTCAAGGTTTCGGAGGAATTAGGGAGAGAATCTTCCCTCCTCAAACACCTCAATCCATTTGAAACTTCAGCTGAGAGATCTGCCCTCCAGAGTTCCCTCCCAACCTCCAAGTGCTGGAGAAAGAGAAAAGAAGTGGCAAGGGTTTCCGCCACCAAGAATAACCATAGTCTTACTGGATTTGCTAATACAAAATTGTCCACGGGCACCTACAAGCCAACTGGGCTCTGTGGATGGTCAAACCGTTCCAAGGCCACTCGGCCCTAGTTGTGGGGAAAAAAAACCGCAAAGACTCTGACCTACTGGGAGCAGTTTAGGAAGGAGGACTTTTGGGAATCAATGTTTACCTGGGAGGAAGGGCTCGAGGGCAGGGGCGTGAGTCAGGGGGATTCTGAGGCAGGTGGCAATCACTCTTCACCTTTTTTGAAAAGTTGATGATTTCACTGAACCATCAGCCATCACCTCCGTGCTCCTGGGGCTTTCCCCACTGGGGCTGGGATCGACTTTGGGGCGTGGAGGGAGGAGGGTGATGGAAGAGAATTCCCCTCTTCCTGCAGGTCTTCCTTCCTGACCTCGAGTGACCGACCACTCCCTTCCCCAGTCTTTCTCCCCATTCCCAGGCCCACTCTGATGTGCTGGCAGGGTAGGAGGGGAGCGGGAGAGTAGATAGCTTTCACTCACAACTGAGGCAGTCTAACAGCTGTCCTCTGCAGGCGCAGGGGTGGTCACTTGCCTTGGCTGCATGAAAAAGTAGTCAGAGATTAGCGTATGGGCATGGCCTAGGGGATGAAGGACCGGAGGCCCAGTCTGGCCCCCAGGAGAGTGACCAGTTGGGCCCCTCCCAGAATGACTTCACTGGGGCCCAAACATGGGAGCCAGTGCAGGGTCAGACCCCCTAACTTCACCTCCACAACCTCATTATCCAGAGATCCAGGCAACACTGGACAAGGCTGAGCCCCTAAATCACACCCAACGGCTTTATCTGCCCCTCTCAGCAGACCCAGTACTTTTAGCCAGTGACTGTTATTTTTCAGGGTCAACCGCCAACTCAGTTTTCCCATTCTGATTCATCAAACACAGGTGGAGGCCTGCGGCTGAAGCAAACGGTAGATGTCAAAGTGTGGTCCCCGGACCAGCAGGATCAGCATCATTAGAAACACCAGTTCTCAGGCTCCATCCCATATGTGCTGAATCAGAAGCTCTGGGAAAGGGGTCCAGCAGTCTTCTGTTTCAACAAACCCTCCAGGTGATGCTGGTGCACACTCAGAGTTGAGAACAGGACTGCAGGGCCTATCTATCTGTCCTCAGCTGGGCCCTTTCTTCAACTCCTTCACTGGCAGGATAAAGGCCACTTAAGGTACAGTCCTTCAACTTCTACCTCCTCATGTATGTCAAGCTCTCCCTAATGTCCCCCCTTCCTTTGCCCTACCCTCTCCCCCACCCACCACCTTCTAAGCCCTCTCTGTAGCCTTCCATACCATGTGACCCCAGCTGCTCATATATCTTCCTCCATTAATCCCTTTGCTCTTGAACACTCATTTCTTTCTCCTGGTTATTTTCTCCGTGTGTCCAAAGACACTCTGGTCTCTTCCAATTCTAGAAAGACAAAAGCCCCAGGAGAACTCTATAGAGTTTACAAACTACCTAGAATAATCTGCTCTAAGTCCCCCGTCCCCTTACACAGGTGAGGCACAGAGAAGCAGCTTGCTCAAAGCCGCAAGCTGGTTCATGGCAGAGTTGGAGTGAGAAATCAGGTTGCTGCATCTCTGTTCAGGGCTCCTTCTTGATAAAGGAATCTGGCCTGCATCAGCTCCATCAGCTCTCACTCTCACTCCCTTTCGCAGGCTGGTTCCAGCCCCTCAGCCCTCTCAACACTGCCTCTCTAAATGTCACCTCAGTGCATAGTGCTTCTCCTTCCCCCACTACTTTCCCTCCTCCCCCTTGAAACCCACCCCTCCTCACCTTGTTGCGGCCACTTCTCATCGTTTTTGAAAAGCTTATGTTTTCACTGCTGAGCCCTGAGCCATCACCTCTGTGCTCCTGTGCTTCCCCCAGTGGGGCTGGGGTCGACTCCGGGACATGCGCGACAGAAGGTAATGGAGGAGAATGCCCTCTTCCTGCAGGTCTTCCTTCCTGACCTCAGGCGACCACTCCCTTTCCCTGGTCTTTCTCCCCATTCCCAGGCCCACTCTGGTGTGCCAGATGGGCAGGAGGGCAGAGGGCAAGTGGTGCCTCAACACCAGAAGGTAGCTTTGCACTCACGGCTGCGGCACTCTGACAGCTGTCCTCTGCAGGCGCAGGTGCACTCACAGTCCTGATCCATCCTCTCCCTCTCTGACTGTTCCTCTTCCATCTTCTGTTCTGGCTCTTTTTCTTGGGCTTCCTCAGGGCCTTGTCGTCACCATTTTTTTTTTTTACAGGGCCTCACTCCTTCGCCCAGACTGGAGAGCAATGGTGCTATCCGGGCTTGAAACGCCAGGCTCAAGTGATCCTCCCATCTCAGCCTCCCAAGAAGCTGGGACTACAGGCATGCATCACCATGCCTGGCTAATTTGTTGTTGTTGTAAAGACAGGGTCTCCCTATGTGGCATAGGCATGCTGGTCTCAAATGCCTGGGCTTGTGCAGTTATCGCTCCTTGGCCTCTCAAAGTGTTGGGATTACAGGTGTGAACCACCATGCCCAGCCATTTCTTTTTTCTCTTCTTTCTTTGCTCACAGACTTATCTGGCTGTCATTTCAACTGGCAATTCTAAGTAGATGGCTCCAATAGGACTTTTATCCCCCAGCTTCCTCAAACTCCAGGTCTGCATTTTTAGCAGCTCCCCCAATGCCGAAGATGCACCCCACATCCCATCATCCAAACTCAAACTCTCCTTCCTCCACATTTCCCAAACCAGCCACCACCACCTCCTGACTCCTGACATCATCCTGTTACCATGGTTTCTAAGATCTTTACCATCCCCTCACATTTATGGTCACGTTTCCTGGTTAAAAACTCAACATGGCCCTGTGAATGCAAAGTCCCTGTGGATCCAAGTAAAACGGATCCACCAGGACTAGTCTTCAAAATCAATAGCCACCATTCTGTGCAGGAATCCATTGCCAGGTGGAATGCTTGGGCCTTCATGTCCTCTGGATTCTAGAGTCTAAAGGGAAGGGCAGGCTTTTATAGACTCTGCTCGACATTTGCTGAAGATTGGGAGCTCCTCAGGGAATGACTCAGCCCTCCTTGGGCAAAACAGATAATAAATCAGACAAAATCAGTTCTTTTATGAGCAACTTGCTATTGCTGGGTCACTCACTCTATGCTAAATGACCCTCTGGGAAGAGTTTCTATGTTCATAGTCCTCTGAGACAACAACTACTTTGTGATGACAGCAGTTAATGGATGTTTGAATCAAAGACAGAGAGAGATATAGGGTAAGGGCTAAGGTTAGGGTCCAGGGTCAAGGGCAGTGGCCAGCATCACGGGGAGGATTGGGGTCAGGAGGCCACGTGTGAATGGCTGGAAGCCATCCTGCTCCCTGCAAGGACAAACCTATGCCAAAACTGTTCTCATCTTCAGCCTCTCTTGCTACCAGGAACACCTGACCTCTCACTGCTTCACACCTCACACCCTCCTTCCCAACCCAGAACGACAGCCATTGTCACCAAGGCCCTCGTGGCAGTACCTGCTGAACCCAGGACTGGCTGTAGGACGCGGAATGGGGCAAGTAAAGAACCTTCCTTGGAAATGAAAATACTTCGTCCTGTCCTGTTCTTCCGAAAACAGAACCTTCCCCGACTCTGCCCTGCCACCTCCCAGAATCAGAGGACCTGGGTTTCAGCCCCATTTCTCACTGACCAGCTACAGAACTTACTACAAGATAACAAGCCCTTTTTGTGTCCTGGTTTCTTCACCTGAAAACAAAACTCGTAAAATGTTCCCTGCTCACTGTACAGGATTGATGTAATGACGATAATGTGCTTGTGTGAAAGCAGTTCACTGTTGACAAGTCACTCTCGTTACATCATCTACTTGGATCTTTACAAACCACCGTGTCAGATAGGCAAGGAGAGCATTTGATACTCTTTTATGGATGAAGAAACCAAGGCTCCCCGAGGAGGAAGGATGTGCCCAGCTGCACAGCTAACACGTGGCACAGTTGGGATTCAACCAAGCCCCCTGTGCACTGTGCCACATGGTTCCAGCATGGCAAGAGGCTGGGTGACACAGCATGCTGCTATTATTAAGAAAAGCAGTATTTTTTCCCAGGATGGCTATAGTTCAAATATTTGCCAGCGGATTATCGCTGGTGAATTTGGGCATCCCCAGCATCTCCAATCTGTCATTGCTTAAGTGGGTTATTTTGGTCTAAGAAGTAGATGTGGGATCACTGGCCTCAGGGCTGAAACGGAGAGGGTAGAGTTAGCCAAGGAAGAAGAAGAGCCGGTGGGTGTTTCTGATGCCACCGTCCACTGATGGTAATCACACCTTCTGCTGGGTACAGAGGACTACAGAATTTTAGGGAAGTTCATAAATTCTAACAATCCCATTTTATGGGTGAGAAAACTTATGCCCAGAAAGATAACAAAGACATCCCCAAGCAGCTGAGCCAGTTCCAGCCCCAGGTTTCCTAATTCTAAGTCCAAGGCTCCCTCCGGGCCACCTGCATTTCAGACTATTCTTCACCTCATTCTGCCTGGGGCTTATCCCTCCGTTTGTGTGCAACTGACAGCAGAGAAGTGGCAATGGGGTGATGTGCCCAGTGGATCCTTTTCCACAGATGTCCCCTGAATGAGGGGCAGTCCTCTTGGAGATTGCTGTCAGGTTCAAATGCCATGCCCAAGACACAGCTTTGTCCCCATGGGCCAGGACAACCCCTTGAATGTGTGTGTTGGGCTTTGAGTTGGGGAAGAGGAAATATTACTCACGACTTCTCTCGCCGGCCGAGCCTCCTCGGGGGGCTTGCCTGTCTCCTTCTGGGGGACAGGGATTTTCCCCGGCTTCTCACTTGGGTCGGAGAGTGGGCACTTGCAGGTTTCAGGATCTGAAGGAGATGTGAGGAGTTAATCACCCTGGTTCCTAAGGGACCTCCACCCTCAGGTCTTCTTCTAGCACCACATTCCACCCCCCAGCCCAATCATGATGCCATGGTTTAGAAGGCATTGAGCAGGAAGACTTCTAAAAAAGGAGGCTGGAGACACACACATTCCTCTCTCGTCCTGTACTGTCAAGCAGCAAGGGCACCACTTCCAAGACAGATATACAGATGGTCACATTGTGCTCCCTGTGCCGTGTAGAGAGAGGAACACAGCCCAATGCCTCAGTCTCCCCGGGGCTGTGTTTGTTTGCTTGGCAAGTTCCTCTCCTCACGAAGGCAAAGTCCCATCTCTATTGCCTCAGAAACCAGCCTGTTCTTCCTCTGATGCTCCCATCCCACACATATGACAGAATGGTTTTAATTGATCAGGAATCTCCACTCCAGGTCCTGCAGAGTGAAGATGACAAGTCCACAAGTGCTAAACATAGCCAGGCCTGAAGTCAGCATAATCCTTTTCTCTTAGTGACTGCACAAGCCCTGGAGGGACATGGACAAGCGGGAATCACATCACTTTGGAGGTAAAACTGAGAGAGAGAAGAGGGACGTATGAGTATAGTCTATATAAGGCCAGCATATAAGGTTTTCCAGGTTTTAATACTGAAAATCTCATGTCCTGGGAAAACCCGCAGTTCCAGGCAAACTAGTACAACTGGTCACCCTATTACATCGACAAAACAGAACAAACTAGAGCTTCAATATAAAATGACTAACACTTTAGATCTGATTTCATAGAAGGAATTGCAGGACGAGACATTGTTTTAACTGTCGCATCTAAATTGATTTTAGATGGCTTTCTTTGCAGTAGTATGTGCAAAGAGAGACTTTAACCTCAAGAAATTTTTGGCCATCCTAGAAAAATGAGGCCTGGAGCAAGAGACAGAGAGAAAGGAATGGGAAAAGAGCTCTCCTGCATGGCTTCCTTGTCTTCCCAGCACCCACCTTCATTCTCATGTCCCTGGCATATTTCTCCAGCTCCTTCCTTATGTCAGCCCTCAGCATCTTTGAGACGTTGAGGACCAGCTGCTTCCACTCAATGGGCTGGAAGCTATGAGGCTCATGGGGGACGTACAGCCCAATCTTGACCTTCTTGACTGTGTGCAGGTATTTCTTGTAAGAGTCCTCAAAGTCAAAGATGAGGTCACTCAGAGTCCGAAAAGTCAATGGCTTGTCCATCAGCTCAGCCCTGCGGCTCATGCCCAATGAGCCATAGCGGCCATTGCAGTAAATCCCCAGCACAACGTGGTGAAAGTAGTTTCCTGAGAAGTAGGTTTTAAAGCTGATGGGGAACCGCTCAATGGAAGGCTGCCCATTGGTTAAGTAGCTTAGACAATCTGAGTCAAGGAAGAGAAAGGAGGCCTTGAAAATTTGAAGCCTGGATGCAAAGGAAGGGAAAGTGTCTCAGGGTTCAGTGAGTCCATCCCCCTGCCTCTGAGCAGGCCCACATCTAACTTTTCCAGACTAATCCTTTTATAAAGGATTCGCTTGTTATGTTTGACTATCTACTATATGCTGTATATCCAAACCAAGTAAATATGAGACAAAGAGAAAAACTTGTCATTTTCTTCAGTAATTACATACATGCAAAACAAAACAATAACAAGGCACTTTTTCCTCTGCTCCTGGGGCTCACACAGGCTGCAACCCGGCCTGGAACAGCCTCATGACTATCCCTTCCCCTCTCCTGGGTGTCTTGCCTCCCTGACCTTCCTCATCCTAGCTTAGGTATTCTTGCTCCCTGCCCCGCCCCAAGTCAATTGGTAAAGGCTTTGGACCTGGAACAATTGGGAATGCAGAAGGAGGTGGCAATGAAATGTGAATGCAGGCAGGGGAGTATATAACCTGAGCTTTTCCAGGGAAGGGGGAGCAGCAGCACCAAGCCTGGGATCATCTTTCCAAAACACACAAGAACCCCCATGGCACTTGGTGCTTACCCATCCTGTACTGTAATTGTTTGTATCTTGTGAGGGCGGGGGTTGTGTCTCACATCCTGGCATTCCCTGGGCACAGCACTGGCCTGGTACACAGATGGGCTTGTTTAATGCTTACAGAAAGAACGAACCTTAGATTGTGGATGTGCACTGCCTTACACTTAAAAGGGCTGCTCTCGGTGCCAGAGCTAATCCAAGTGCCCTGAAGAGAAGGATGCTGACAGAATCCATCCACAGCACTGGCGGCAGCCTTGTCCTCTGCTCTCGGTTTAATCACGGATGCCTCCACTCTCTAGAAAGAAAGCAGTTTTGTACTTGCTTTCTCTTCACTTTATCATGTGAGATCACCTGGCAGTTAGGGAGTGAAATCACATCCTTCTGAGTCCTCTTACGTAAATTCCTAGCTGCTTTCTGGGGCAAGTTCTCTGGGGCTGGAACAAGGGCATTCCTTAGCTGCTTAAGTCAGTGTGACAAACACTTACCCTGAGTGTCTGCTGTGCCCGACAGCCTGCCAGGTAGGGCTGTGGAGCCAAAGATAAGAACACAGCCCTTCTCCGGAGGTCTGGTGGGAGATGGACTCAGAATGCACACAATGTGATCAGTATGGCAATTCCTCAAATAATTCAACAGGATTACCCTAGGACCTGGCAATTCCACTTCTGGGTGCATACCCAAAAGAATTGAAAGCAGCGACCCCAGCAGGTATTTGTACACCCATGCTCTGAACAGCATCATTTGCAATAGCCAGAAGGTGGAAACAACGCAAATATCCATCGATGGATAAAGGGATGAACAAAATGTAGTGTATACATGTAATAGAATTTATTCAGCCTCATAAGGGAGGGAAATTCTGCAATGTGCAGAATGAGCCTTGAAGACATGCTGAGTGAAATCAGCCTAATACAAAAGGACAAATATGGTATGATTCCACTCATCTGCGGTACCTGGAGTAGCAAGTGCATACAGACAGAGAGTAGAACGGTGGTGGGCAGGGGCTGGAGGGGGGAAATGGGGAGTACTTTTTAACGGGTATGGGGTTTCATTTCTGGGGAGGAATGGTGGTCTTTTTTTTTTCATTTTTTTGAGACACAGTCTCACTCTGTCACCCAGGCTGGAGTGCAGTGGTGCGATCTCAGCTCACTGCAGCCTCTGCCTCCCAAGTTCAAGCGATTCTCCCGCCTCAGCCTCCTGAGTAGCTGGAATTACAGGCACCCGCCACCATACCTGGCTAATTTTTGTATTTTTAGTAAAGACGGGGTTTCACAATGTTGGTCAGGCTGGTCTCGAACTCCTGACCTCAGGTAATCTGTCCTCCTCGGCCTCCCAAAGTGTTGGGATTACAGGCATGAGCCACTGCGCCTGGCCGGAATGGTGGTCATTTTGCAGAGCATTATGAATGCACTTAATGTCACTGAACTGTGCACTTAAAAATGGTTAAAATGGTAAATTATGTTATATTTTACCACAATAAAAACCAAAACACAATGTGAAGTGTGTTATAAGAAAGGCAAGCCTAGCAACCTCTGGGTGGACAGAGGAGGGGCCTCAGCAGAGTAACACTGGAATTCATCTTACAGGATAAGTAGTCAGCCAGGTGGAGAAGTGGGGAGGAGACAAGAGAGAGCACCAGTCCCTCATGTCACGAGTCACTGATCTTGAGGATTTCTCCCATCATGATGTCAACTGGTAAAGCCTTGGGACCTGGAGCAACTGGGAATGGAGAGGGAGGTGGCGAGGTAGTATGGAGGCAGGCAGGGGAGTAACCTGACCTTTTCCAGGGAAGCGGGAGCAGCAGCGCCAAGCCAGGGATCATCTTTCTGGCATCCAGCCTCCTGGGGCTATTCCTAACCTGCCTCTCATAATGAACCTGTTTCTTTAATAAACCACAGTGCTTTAGTACCACAAGCAAGCCCCACCATGGCCAGTGAGGCCCCCCAAAATACCTGCCATAGTTCACAAGATAATTTGGAAGCAAAGATCTACCTCTCCAGCATGCATGTAAAAGCATGCGCATGCCCTCAAGCAAGATAAAAAGAAGTGGCTCAGAACTAATGAATCCTGAACTCTGGGCCAAAGTCAAAAAAAGAGAAGGCAAGGAAGGACAGGCCAATGGACACAGGCGTCCAAGCAGCCAAGCCAACCAGTTTCAAAGTTGTTGAGCCAGGACCTGCAGAAGGGCCTGTGGGAGACACAGACGGATGAACCCATTCATATCCTTCACTATCCCCGAGTGGAAAGCAGGACCCAGGGATGCTGACCAAAGCAAAGAGAAAAGACAGAGATGCTGTAACTTTTAGAATCCAGGTCTGTTTGGGAGGCTGAGGCGGGCAGATCACCTGAGGTCAGGAGTTCAAGATCAGCCTGGTCAACATGGTGAAACCTCATCTCTACTAAAAATACAAAAACTTAGCCGAGATCGCGCCACTGCACTCCAGCCTGGATCACAGACCGAGACTCCGTCTCAAAAAAAGAATTCGGGCCAGGTGCAGTGGTTCACGCCTATAATCCCAGCACTTTGGGAGGCCGAGGTGGGCGGATCACGAGGTCAGCAGATTGAGACCATCCTGGCTAACACAGTGAAACCCTGTCTCTACTAAAAATACAAAAAAATTAGCCGGGCATGGCGGCGTGCGCCTGTTGTTGTCCCAGCTGCTGGGGAGGCTGAGGCAGGAGAATGGCGTGAACCCGGGAGGCAGAGCTTGCAGTGAGCTGAGATCTCGCCACTGCACTCCAGCTTGGGCGACAGACCAAGACTCCGTCTCAAAAAAAAAAAAAAAAGAAGAAGAATTCGGATCTGTGTTTCCTGTCTGTGTGCAAGAGTCAAATTTCCCTGAGTTCAGCAGCGTGAACTGAAGCTCTCCACCTTCCTGCACTTTTCTGAAATGTCAGAAGGATAAGAACAAAGGAAAACCACGAGCACACTGTCTCTGATTTGGACAGGCTCAAAGGCTGTTCCTGGGTCTATCCCCACAATTCCAAAAGGTCGTGGGTGATTCCAGTGGCATGATGCGCAAATGTATAAAATTGTGCAGGGATGAGACTATTGTGTAAGGGAGGTGGTCATTTCAATGACCTAAATCCAGAGGCACTCAGACACCCCTCAACAAAGAGTCTGAAGTTAGCTTGTCTACCCCATGAAGGGCCTGGGCTTGTGTTCCCCTTCGTTGATCTCTTCCACCAGCAAATCCCCAGCCAATCATCTGCCCCCATTAAACTTGCAGGAGGCTTCGCTGAACAGCTGTGGCTGACTCCTGCCACTAAAGAGTTGGGGCCCTGAGCCATCTGCTGCCCCGACCCCCATTCCCAGCTTCCTGCTGGGTTCCCCAGGCACATGTTTCATCTCCTTTGTGGGAAACAGGGAGGAGGATGACAAGAGGGTTGGGGAGGGGCCTCAGTAAGGTTCAAGTTTCCATTTTTCAAATGTCAGCCAAGGCACCTGTGGTCAATCTGGTTTCAGATCAGGGCTGCAAGTGTTCCACAGACTGCAGAGAGGCACAGAGATTCTCCTTCCCACAAAGATGTCCAGGAGACCCAGAAAACAGACTAGACCAATCCTCCTGTCCCCAGTCTAATTCTGAGCCACATGTCCTTCCACTGACCTCTCCATCCCCTTTCTCTCCTGGTTTTCTTTCTACCTCTCTTTCCTTCTTAAGTCTCTTTCATGGGCTCTTTGTGCCAAACTAGACCAAAAAATACTGATTTCATCTTTGATCTTTTTCTCCTTTCACTTATTGAACAGTAAGCACAACCTCCTAATCACAGCTCCTAAATTCGCATTTCCAGTGCAGATTCCCCTGTGAGCTCCACATTGCAAATACCTCATTCCGACATCCCACAAGGCACCTCAAATTTCACATGTCCAAATCTGAGCTCATCTTTCCCTAAATCCGATCCTCTCCTTGAAGTTCTTCCCTTGTGGCATTATCATGCAAGCCAGAAATGTGGAGTCACTGCCTTTCTCCAATAACTCCTCCCATCTAAGCAGTCCCCTAGTGGTGGTGATGATGTATGCCTCCATCCCTTCCCTCCACCTTCACTGGCACTGTCTTAGTTCAGGTCTGCATTGACGCATATCCTTTCTCTGCCACTCTCATTCCTCCAGCTAATCCCGCAGTCGATTGCCCAATTCAGAAACCTGGAGACGTTGACTCCTTCCTCATTAACTCCTGCGTCTGGTTGGCCTGCAAGTCCTATACATTCTATCTCCTTGATAGCTCTTAAAACCATTCCCTGAAATCCATTCCCATCCCCAGGGCCATGAGTCTAGCCTCACCATTCCCTCATGTAACAGCTCCCAACGGGCTTTGCTGATCCAGCCCAGCCTTTCCCAATCTGTCCTTCAGCCTGTGCTTTGGAGAACTACCTCTCTAGAGCATATACCTAAGCATGCCACACCTCTGCTTCAGAGCTTTCATCTGGGTTGCCCATTGCCTTTTGGAAAAAAGTCATTTCTCAGCACAGCGCTCAAGGACCTAACTGATCTTGCCTGGGACCATCTCTCAAGCTCCTGTCTTGCAGTGTTTCCTTTTCCACTGTCCCTTACAGCCATCCATCCCATAGGACTTCGGAGCATCTTTGCTCTTCTATCTGATTGTGGCAGATCAGGCTCAAAGGCTGTTCCTGGGTCTATCCCCACAATTTCAAAGGGTTGTGGGTGATTCCAATGGCATGATGCTCGAATGTATAAAATTGTGCAGGGATGAGACTATTGTGTAAGGGAGGTGGTCATCACCACCAATATGTCGATGCCATCACAGTTTCTCTGCACCATATTCCTCTCAGGCTGAAGAGCCGGGAGTCTGGTGAAAAATGGAACAGAAAGTGTGGGAGAAGCTAGACCCTTGTTTTAGCTGTGGGTTCTGTCAAGTCAGGATACACCACCACTGCTTGGTCTCCTCCACACGCCACTCTTAGAATTTTCCCTGGCGAGCCAGGCGCGATGGCTCCTGCCTCTAATCTCAACACTTTGGGAGGCTGAGGTGGGCGGATCACTTGAGCTCAGCAGTTTGAGACCAGCCTGCTGGTGAAACATGGTGAAACCTCATCTCTACCAAAAATACAAACAAACAAACAAAAAATTAGCCGGGCATGGTGGCCTGCGCCTGTAATCCCAGCTACTCAGGAGGCTGAGGTCAGAAGGTCACTTGAGCCTGGGAGGCGGAAGTTGCAGCGAGCTGAGATCATATCACTGAATTTTCAAAGACATTTCCCTGGAGATGGGTTTGGATACTAGCACTCTTGGCTCTGATTGCATTTCCCCTTGACTGTCTTTCCTGCTGCAATGTCATATTAATGCAAAGAACAGCCACATACACACTCTCTCTAGTCCCTCCAAGTTAGAATTCTCCTTGTGATTAGTGAGTCTGCAAGGTCACTGGCCTGAGAGCTGGACCTGATGGAGGCTGAAGCTCACAGGTTAGACTGATATTGGTCCAAGAAGCCAAGCATTGATTTGGTTCAATTCTACATGGTGAAAGTTAAAGAGATGAACCAGAGGAGTTTGACACTTTCCTCAAAGGAGATAATGGGCATCATCTCTGAGAATTTACAATGTTAAAGGCACAACAAGCCCCATTGTGAAGCCGCCATTTATGGAGTAAACTAAGCATACATAACTTAAAGGATACATGCCCAGGATGACAGCTTCAAGGCATTTGATAGGCAAGGACTCTCGGGTCATTTCTTTTGCTGTTTCCATTAACCTGTAGGATAGAGCACAGCAGAGGATCTCAGAACCTATTTAATTACACACTCGGTCAGTCTGTCAATCCATCAGCATGCCTGTCCCCACACCAGGAACCACACAGGAGCACGGAGGGAAAAGGGAGAAGTCACCTTGCAGGAAGGCACCAAAGCACAAGAGTTAATTCCTGGAGTTAGTGCCAGTACTCCATAGCACCCTCCCAATGCCCCAGCACGGGGGCATTACAATAGAACAAATAAATGAAGCCTCGAGAGGCAGAGTTTACAAGCCTCCTCCACCCTGGAAGCTAGAATTCACCACTGAGCTCCACTGTCAGAGTTGCTCAGTCCTCAGTCCCACCTCCAACCTGGCCCTGGGGCACCCTCCGCCTCCACCCCTTACAGACTAGGATACCTGAGCCATGGGCTACGGGAATAGAGGTTGGGAGAGGAAGCTGGCAGCTCGAATGTAGGAGAGAGGTCATCTGGCCCATAGATCATGCACCACTTACCCACTCAGCGGTCTCATTTTCCTAATTTCAAAGAACTGGGTCCCTGTGTGATTATATCTGTGTAAAGTATGTAAAGGGAAAGTGACAGAAAACTCCAAAGGTCCCAGTAATGTGGCAGAGAAAGCTATGCATTCTGATTTCTCAATGAGATGAGGATGTGAGGGCTTTCAGAAGTCGCCAGCACCCAGAAGGTAGCTAGTAGTAGCCTCTAACTCCTCACTATCCTGCCCTGGAAATCTAATTTCTAACTTAGGCTTCAAAGTACCATGGACCTTTATAATAGCTCTTTTCAATCTGCTCTGTATTCCGGGTAGTTGACTATTTGTCTTAATTCACCTACTAGACTACAAGCTCTTTGAGAGCTGGTACTATTCTTTTTTTAAAAAAACAAGTTTTTTTAAGACATGGTCTTGCTATGTTGCCCAGGCTTGTCTTGAACTCCTGGGCTCAAGTGATTTTCCTGCCTCAGCCTCCCAAGTAGCTGGGACCTCAGGTATACACCACCATACCTAGCTAGAACTATTCTTTCATTATCTTTATATCACCCATAAAACCTGGCAGAAGGCCAGGTGCAGTGGCTTATGCCTGTAACCCCATTGGGAGGCTGAGGTGGGTGGATCACCTGAGGTCAGGAGTTCGACACCAGCCTGGCCAACATGGCAAAATCCAGTCTCTACTAAAAATACAAAAATTAGCCAAGTGTAATGGCATGGGCCTGTAATCCCAGCTACTCAGGAGGCTGAGGCAGGAGAATCACTTGAATCTAAGAGGCAGAATTTATGGTGAGCCAAGATCTCACCACTGCACGTCAGCCTGGGCAACATAGTGATATTCTGTCTAAAAAAAAAAAAAAAAACCTGGCAGAAACCCAACATATGCAAGTTAACAAATGTTACTAAATGAATGAGGAATACATGAATGGATGGATGAATATATGGATGGATGGAAAGGTGGATGGATGAATGAGTGGATGGATGGATTGGAAGGGTGGATGGGGACGGATGGAAGCAAGGATGAAAGGGTGGATTGTTAGCAGTAGGGCTTTGCAGTAGCGCATAGACTCTGTAGCAGGGCTTACTGTGGAGATGTCACTTTTTTTCATGCCTATGCTGGCACTTGGCATTGATTACTAAATCTGAGAAGCTGCACCATTATTCACTATCTGGGATTTAGCTGACTGCCCAGAAGGTCTCAGGGACTGACCAGCTTGCACCAAGTTGTTCTGAAGGAGATGGAGAGTTCCCTGATGCCGTGCTCTCTGAGGACTGGGTTTTGATTTTTCTGAGCCTAATGAGAAGTTGCTTTGTAGGTTTTGCTCTTCTGCCTCAAACAAAAGCCTATAGGAAAAGTGCACATCGGGAAGGTGCTAATGAAGCCTGAATTTCTATGCCCAGAGCTGCTGCAGGCCAGGTGGGGATGGGAGAGTCAATGGGTGCCCCACAGTGACAGGGGCGCCTAGCGGCACTTCGATCCCTCCTGAAAAGGGCTGGGATTCCTCTCTTGGCACAGCTGTGCTTGGTCACTCAGACACGAGCACACGTAACCCCTTGAAGAGCTCAGTATAAGCAGATTCTGGGCTCCAGCCCTGGAGAGTCTGATTTCAGGCCATGGAGCATAACCCCAGATGCTACTCAGAGTCACCTCACCTTAGATGACTGAGCAGGAAGCTCCAGGGTGAGGGCTGGGGGGCCTCCCAAGATCACCAGTTTGAGAGTTACTGACCTGGGCATTAAGAACAACAACTAACCATACAGTCTTGCCCAGTTTTTAAAACATACAACATACAAGATCCTAGAGGTAAAAGAGGAAAATGAAGGGCTAAATATTCTCATTGTGAAGTGATTTCTTTACCTCACCAAAAATTTTATACAAGCAACGAGGTTCCTGGTACATAAAGTAGAATTCAATTGGCAAAAATTCAGTTCTATGCCCAACTTTCCTCCGCTCACATATCTAATTTATACATCTAGTGTAACAAATGAGACAAACGTAGAGTAAAATAAAAAAAAAAAGTGTACCTGAACATCTTCTTTCAGTTCCTTAGAGTTAATCATTGAGTCCCTGAAAGTGGGCTGGGGAGAAGTCTGCTCTAAACATGCCCTGAGTGGGAGATACTCACTGAGCCCGAATTTGCTGTTAGAAGGCTTCTCCCCCAATCCAGCAGAGCTCACATGGCACCTCTCTCTCCAGAACCCCATGCAACACCAGTACTCTTGTTGGTTGCTGCCGAGGATGTCTGAGGGGAAGGCAGGATTTGTCCTTTCCTATCCCCACCGCCAGCTGAGCACATTCACAGTCAGGACTGATGCCAACCAGTCCCCATATCCTGGCACCTGTCACTGTGTCCAGGACAAAGCAGTAGGAAGTCCCAAGGAACTAAATAAAAGTCAGGTCAGCAGGTAGAAGAGTGGGTGCCCTGTCTTCCTCGTGCAGTGGCCCCAGTGGGCAGGGGGCTGGGAGCAGGTCCCCGCAGCCTGCTGGTGCTTCCCTTCTCTGGCCCTCTCTGCAGTCAGTGATGCTGTTGGTCATTGACCTTCGCAGTCATAATGGGTCAGAGAAGAGAAAAATGGAAAAGCAGATCCTTCAGGGCAACCATGAAAATGTGGCAGAGAATATGCTGTCAGGTTTACAGCAGTGTGAGCAAATGATATGTAAAGCACATGCAAATTTGCCCCATCAATGCATTCCCAGTTTAATTCTCTTAACTCTCAGCCAGATGATCCTTGTGAAGACCATGTCCTAGATAGAAGTGGGGAACCTTAAAGCCTATAATCAGTTGACTTTAAGTTAAAAAAAAAAAAGAGATGGGGAGGCATTCTAATTGCTGTCACCTTCTAGAATAGCCTATGAGGAGTCAGTCACATCCAGAAAGGGCCAGCTCTTGGGGTCCAGGTCTGCTCTGGCAGGAGTTTGTGCCTTGGGACCATGTGGAACTCCCCATGCAGGTCCCAGAGTGGGGATCAGCACAAACAGCAGACAGCCTTCCAAGGGCTAGGGCTGCCAGCCTCACTCTTGGAGACCGGCGCTACCTCCTCCTCCTAATATTGCCTTAGGATTTTACTGGAAAGATGCCATGTTGGGGAGTTGATGATCCGTGAAGTGAAAACAGAGAAGCCAATCAAGTAATCTCCCTACCCAAATGAGCAGAAATTGGTGTTTTCCGATCTAGTAAACACCAACCCCTGTGGGGGAGGTGCTAGTGTTCGGTCCCTGCAAGGAAGACACAAATATCCACCAGAAAGATTTTTGCCATAACATAGAATGGAGGGGCTTTTCTGGGACATGTGGGGCATGTGTGCAGTGCCCCCTGAAATCCTTTCTGCCTCAGGGCTGGGTATGGACAGACAAACAGAAAGCCAGTCAATGTGCCTGGGACCTTGTAGAACAGGCTATGTTTTATACATTCATGGAGGAAGGATAGCGGTCCACAGAAGCTTGACCTCCTGGACAATGTGCTGGGGTCCAGCTTCCCATCTGACTCCTCTATAAAATACCAGAAGGGGCAGGTGGACCACCCGCTCCTGCCCCTCTGTCCCTACAGCATTGCTCGTGGGAGTTCTCAGAACTGATGTAATCCTGACTGCAAACAACCTGCGGATGCGGAGAAGAAAGGGACCAAACCAGCTGGTCTGAACTCAGACTGAACCCAGTGAGTTTCTTAAGTCTTCTTCAAGCTCGAGTCGGGGGAGAGGGCCCCCAATCCCAGAAGCCGAACCATTCATGTAGAACCAAGCAGGTCACCAGCCTGGGTCACCTGGGGAGACAAAGGCAGCACCAGGTGGGCCTCTTGTAGATCATGAGCAGTTAGGGATGAGGGCAAAACAGAGAAAGAGAAAACGAATGGAAGAGTAGGAGGGAAGAAGGCAATAGACAGTGGAGGGCTCCGTGTGGTGACTCACGCCTGTAATCCCAGCACTTTGGGAGGCCGAGGTGGGCGGATCACTTGAGGTAAGTTCCAGGCCAGCCTGACTAACATGGTGAAACTCTGTCTCTACTAAAAATACAAAAATTAGTCAGGTGTGGTGGCGGATGCCTGTAATCCCAGCTACTCAGGAGGCTGAGGCAGGAGAATCACTTGCACCCAGGAGGTGGAGGTTTCAGTGAGCTGAGAATGCGCCAACGCCCTCCATCCTGGGTGACAAAGCAAGTCCTCATGTCAAAAAGAAGGACAGTGAAGGAGAACAGGAGGAGGGGAACAAAGATGCCCAAGAGAAAGGAAGTGGAGAAAGAGGAGAAGATAGAAGGAAGAGGGGTGCTCAGGGGAAAAAGGGAAAGGACAGGGAAGAGGAGGGAGAAAGAGAAGCAGAAGGGCTCAAGGGGAACCAGCCTGCCCTACTGGGTCACTGCAATGACAACCTCCACGCACACTCTTTCTAGACTCCCACCCGGGACATCCCTCCATGCCTGGCCTCACCAACCTTAGAGAGCTTTTGATGACCAGCTGGGGACAGATTTGCCACCAGGCTTGCGATCACCATGCCTGTCCCCTGGCTGGGTGTGCTCAGACCTTGGTTGGAAGGATACTGTAGGGTCTTCATGTAATTCTGGATCGCCTGGAGCCAGTCTGGGATCGTCATCGACAGCCTGTAGTTTGGGACCTGGGGTATTGAAGGCTGCAGAAAAATAGAGAAGAGGAGGTGTTTATGAAGGAGGCGCTCTGGGGCCCAGCTTCTGGGGGCAGGCAGAGGGCTAAAGCCACCAGAGAGAGAGGTGCTCCTGAGAGCCGATGGCAGCATGGTCACCCTGGTGTGGTTACCTGATTGAGCAGTGCCTCCTCCATGAGGTCTCCCAGGAACAGTGGGTCCCTCATTGAAGCTCTGCCTCTCTGAGTTCCCTCTGAGTCATGGTGGCTCTCTATGGCCCTCCGTGCTGTGTGAATACAGCCTTTTTCCCTGCAGAAGGCTAATGCCTCCTTGATGCGAAGGACTATGTTCTATCATGTCCCCCCACCGAGCCTGGCCCAGGACGGACACGAAAGCATTCCAGCATTCCATCAATGATTGCATAATGCCTGCTGCATGGCAAATGGTGATCCACTACAAGTGCTCTACTGCAGGGCAACATTTACACAGAATATAAAGTGAATGGATGCCGGGCGCCATGGCTCACGCCTGTAATCCCAGCACTTTGGGAGGCCAAGGCGTGTGGATCACATGAGTCCAGGAGTTTGAGACCAGCCTGGGCAACATGGTGAAACCCCATCTCTAAAATTCAAATAGATAAATAAATAAAGTGAATGGTGCCCTAGCGAATTGCAACATGGCACTACGAGTGCCACATCTCAATACCACCCTCCCTGCAACGCCCAGTGTGTCCCTTTCCCTGAGTCCCACCCCCAGATGGATTAGGGAAGATCCCTCCTCTTGCCTCGACTCTCCCCAGACAAGTGCAGCTCCTCTGGCTCACACGCCATCTTACCACTTTACCCCTCACAGCAGCTCCACCAACACACTCACTTCCTAGTCTGCCCCTCAATCAACACTCCCTGAATGTCTACAACACAGCAGACGAAGTCCTAATCCCTGCCAGGAAGAGAAAGAACCAAAGTCAGGCAAGGACTGGAAAGGGGGAAGCAGGTCCCACTTCTCAGGAATTTAGAGCTAAGATATCCACTCGGCTCTGAGCAGCCGTACCCTGAAGGCCAAGAGCAAGAACAGACAGGGACGTCCAATCAAGTCGCTGCTGAAAAGCCAGGCACGGTTTGGGGTTTTCTTGGTTGGTTTTGTTTTTCGCTTTATTTCACCTACATGTTTCTCGGTCTTCTGACCTCTGTCTCCCTGGGGTCCTTGGTGACAGAGAATCTCAGCCCACGTGGGTGGGGCTCCGGCAGTGCTGCTGCTGGGAAGGAGAAAGGAGGCTCCTCCAGGCTAAGCCACTTAAGGAGAAGCAGAAAGGGCCTGAGGACAGGTGAGGCCCATCCTCAGAGCAAACAGGGCAAGGGCAGCCCTGGGGATCTGGTGCTCCGCTGATGGAAGGGGACTCCGCTGGGGAGGTGCAGGGATGGCCCTGTGCAGCCAGGCCAGGCAGCAGAGGCAGACACTGCCTAAGGCTGTTCGAGGCTCTCTCCCTGACTCTCCAGGCGCCAGCCCCAGTGTGAGGCTGAGGGCACGCTGCCCCCCGCCTGGGCATCGGGGTCTTTCCATGCTTCCACCCCGCTGCCTACACTTACTGCAAGTACTCCTTGACATTCCTTTCCTCTCACTGCCTCAATTCTCTCTTGGCTTTGAAATGTCCTACTTCACAGCAACTGCCTCCTCAGCTGGAAGGAAACTCATCAGAATCACACTTCCTGCATTACAGCCAAGGTATTGTGTGTGTGTGTGTGTGTGTGAATGTGCGTGTGAATGTGAGTGTGTGTGCACACTCAGGCACAGCTATTCTGCAAGCTCCATTTTGTTTACAACATGTCAACCCAAATCAATCACATTGCTGTCTGAGAGAGTCATTTCAGGGGGCAAGGCATTGAATATTTGCTCCCATGACACTCACAGAGACACACACACACACACACAGAGCAAGTCAAAATGTAAAGCGTATTCTGTGTTTCTGCCCTAGCATACACTAGAAAGTGTTCTATGTAAAAAATGTGCCAGAGATTTCACAAAGTGGGGAGAGAAGGGGAGACGTGAACAAGTATGTCTTTAGCACCTCCTGTGTTTCAAGTTTTAGGCCCTGTACGAACGAACGAGAGAGAAAGCCCAGGAGCAGAGGCAGAGAGGAGGGGAATTCTAGTTTATTAAGACATACGCAGGTCGGGCGCAGTGGCTGACGCCTGTAATCCCAGCGCTTTGGGAGGCCGAGGTGGGCAGATCGCTTGAGCCCAGAAGTTCGAGACCAGCCTGGGCAACATGGCGAGACCCCATCACTAAAAAAAAAAGAAAGAAAGAAAGAAAGAAAATTAGCCGAGCATGGTGATGCACGCCTGTAGTTTCAGCTACTCAGGAGGCTGAGGTAGGAAGATGGCTTGAGCCCAGGGGGTCAAGGCTGCAGTGAGCCATAAATGGGCCACCGCACTCCAGCTTGAGTGACAGAGCAAGACCCTGTCTCAAAAAAAAAAGACATAAACATTTCTGCACAGAAAAGCACAGTCTGAACCTCTTTAATAGAAAAGCTGGTAAGTGTGGGAAAATGCTCTGAGGAATCACCAGCCACCTAAGAGATCCCCAGAGGGGTGTCCCTAGGCCAGAGCCTTGCTGTAACCAGTGACTTGGTTCAAGAGTCTGCTGAAGGACTGACCACCAAATTATTTCAACCCCCCTCAAGCCCAGCAGAGCCCACAAGAGCTGGATGGCAGGGTGGGAGCAGACGGCAGGTGGTCCCCAAAATAGCAACCCGATGGCGCCCAAGGGCTTTTAAAAACAGCTGCATGGTTACCTCAGCCTGGCTGTAAGCAGAGTGCAGGAGCTGTGGCCACACTTCCTGCCCAACGGGAGGACAAACGTATACATTCCCCAAGTCCCAGCTGGGGGCAGGGCAGTGGCGGGGAGGCGCAGAGACCACAGAGGGAATGATGTCATAGGCTACAGCTCACTCTGATGTCTGGGAGAGCTGTCTGGGCTCAGCCTGGAGGGTCCACTTCCAACCAGCGCCTCGGGCTCCCAACGTTCCCACTGGCCATGGACTGTAAACCAGGTGGGCTTCCCGGAGTGTCATTAGGAGACACACACAACCAGGTCCAAAGCCCTGCTCTGCCACCTACTAGCTGTGGGCCCTGGTCAAGCTGCATGACCTCTCTAAGCCTCTGTTTTCTTCCTGATAAAATAGGAATAGTATCACCTACTTCCAACCTTCCAAGCTGGTTGTAAGCATTACATGACCTAATGCAAAAGTAGGCAACTTGGGGCTTGGCATATGGTGCTCATTAAGTGTAAGCTGTGTTGGCCAGGTGCCGTGGCTCACACGTGTAGTCCCAACACTTTGGGAGGCCAAGGTGAGTGGATCACTTGAGGTTGGGAGTTTGAGACCAGCCTGGCCAACAGGGCGAAACTAAAAATACAAAAATCAGCTGGGCATGGTGGTAGGCGCCTGTAAACCCAGCTACTTGGCAGGCTGAGGCAGGAGAATTGCTTAAACCTGAGAGGCGGAGGTTGCAGTGATTGAGCCACTGCACTCCAGCGTGGGTGTCAGAGCAAGACTCCATCTCAAAAAAAAAAAAAAAAAAGTGTAAGCTGTGTATTATTCATCACCAATATATTGTCAGGGGTCTAGGCTGGGGAAACCTGAATGATCCCTACTTTCTGGAACTGGAAAACAGAAACAGCAGCAGCAGAGTCCCTGGACACTCAACTTGGGAGCTTCACATCATGAAGATACCTTCTTACCTTAATGGAGAGGATGAAAACGTTCACTGCTCCCTGGGGATGCATTGGTGACAATGAGTTAATACCCTTAATTCATTATGAGCTCATGCAAAGTGACAAGAAAAATCTTTAGGCCTCAGTGAAAATAAAAATGGCCCCCAAAGGTGGAAGCAACCCAAGTGTCCATTGACAGATGAATGAATAAACAAAATGTGGCGCACCACGGAATATACGATGGTATACAGTGGAACACGATTCAGCCTTTAAAAGGAAAGACGTTTTGACACATGCTATCACATAGATGAACCTTGATGACATTTTGCTAAATGAAGTAAGCCAATCACAAAAGGACAAATATTGAATAATTCCTCTTATATAAGGTTCCCAGAGTAGTCAAAGTCATAGAGACACAAAGTAGAATGGTCGTTGCCAGGGGCTGGGGAGAGAGGGAAATGGAAAGTTAGTGTGGAATGGATACAAGGTTTCAGTTAGGAAGATGAAAAACGTCTGGAGATGGATGGTGGTGATGGCTGCACAACAGTGTGAAGGTACTCAATGCCACAGAGTTGTACACTTAAAAACGGTGAAAATGGTAAACTGTATCATATATATATCTCTCTCTCCACAATTTTAAGAGCCACGAAAAGACAATTCACAAAAGAAGAAAAGCAAATAATAACCAAATACTTGAAAAAATTGTTTAAGTGCTCTAATAATATAAGAAATGCAAATTAAACCCACTGCAAAATGTCATTTTTCACCTCTCCAATTAGCAAAAACATGCTGAAATACAGATACCCAATGCTGGTAAGGATGCTCTCCTACAGGATCGAGGCAAACATAAATTGGTGCAACCTTTTCAAGAAAAGCCCAGGGCATATCCCTTTTTTCTGTTCGTGACTGGGGTCCCTCCTCATGCTATTTTCCTGCCAGATTTCATCAATTGCTGTACTACCTGAAACTCCAACTTTGTCTTTCTGTAGCCCTTCCCCTCAACGGTCTCACCACCTGCTGCCTACGTTAGCCCCACAGCCGTGGCCAGGCTGATGAAGGCACAATCTAGAGGAAACAGATCGAAACCAACCTCTTCACACAGGCACTGTGCCTGTTTTCTAGGGGTGGGGGCCCCAGAAAACTTGAGGGCTAGGGGGCAGGAGGAGGGAGTGGAGTGGACAGAAAGATGGTGTTCAAGAGAAAGAACAATGAAACAAACCACAGGCAAGGCTCTTGTGAGCAGCCTCTCTTCCACTCTGTTCTTGTGAAGCACAACTGACCTGTGGGAAGAACGCAAGGGAAGTGATACGGATGGACAGTTGTGTAACTGAACTGCCGTGTGGCAGAGAAGGGAAAGACCAGGAAAGGAACCAGAGAGGCAGCAAGAACCCCAGGCACTAGGAATCTTTAACAAGAGCAAGGGGAATTCAAAACCTTTTGTCATCCCTACTCTGAAAACACTATGCAGGCACCAGGCAGAAGAATCTTCTTTGGCAGCTTGGGAAGAGAAGCACAAAACAGCACCCATGAGCCCAGAATGAGCCCCAGGCTCCTGCAACAGAGGCAGCCAGGAACCTGTGAAGGGCCTGGGACAGAGGTGCAGGACAGACAGACAGACGGAAGGTTCTCAATCCAGGATGGGGGAGGAAAGGAGATGCCTGCAAGAGGTGGCAGCGGGCAGGGACAGCCCTTGACTGCAGCCAGGTCTCTAGTACCAAACACTCCCGTGTCTTCACTCAGGTGAAGCTCGGTCCTCTAAATGTGAATTATTTTCCAATTGGGAATCAACTCGAGAATAAGGCACAAGAAGTGAGGTCTGCAAGAAACCGACTGCTGTTTCTTGCTGAATCCATCCTGGTTTTCTGCCCCAAGGAGAGTCCAGTTCCAAGCTGTTAAGAAACAGGAGGATTGTCCTAGAATTTTCCTAGAATGCCCACTGTTTTCTTCTGGGCTGGCCACTCTCTCTGAGCCTCGCTTCCCATCTGCTATTATCCTCCAACTGACTCTTGCTGTTTCCTTAAAGTCTTTCTGAAAAATCCTGCCTTTGACCTCGTCAACTGCTAACTTCAGACTCAACAACCTCCAGGGGAGAGGCCTGCAGTCACAAATTTAGAAGGAGGATCTCAAAGCAGGGGAATCCCTGCAAGATGGGGATATCTGGACCTTCAGGCAGAAGTTACCATGGCTGCTAAGGGAATGTCCTGTAGTCAAATGAAGTGTCATTTAGTCCTCCATGCAGGCCCTTGAAAACCTCCCCCATCTACTTCTTTTGCTTCTTAGTCTACATTCAATGGCCAAAAATGGTTAATCCCCCTGAAGCCTGCCAAGCTTTTACCACCGCCGCCACCCTACCACCCTTCTTCTGTACAAATTCCTCAGTAAGATATTGATTTGGTTGATGGAGAAAAGGACTTGACCCCAGAGGAAAGAGTCTGCCATGCTGAGCACAGAAACAACCCTCTAATCCGAGAGGAGTGGCCCCTGGAAAAGGGAGCTTTTGAGGCTCTTCCCATGTTAAGGCCTAGGCAGGGGTCAGGGCTTGGGGAATGTCAGGACCAGGGGAGATACCATGATAGGACTGGGGATAGAGAACCAACCATTAAGATGCAATGTGAGAGAAATGTTAAGTTCTTTATATTTAGGGCCAAAAAGCTGACTGTCCACATTTGGGCTGGGGATTCCTGGCTTGGAAGCAGTTTTCGCGTAACCTTCTAGTTACTATGAAAAGTACAATATGATGTGGCCACTGTGTAAAAAAGGGAAGACCAGCTGGGCGCAGTGGCTCACACTTGTAATCCCGGTACTTTGGGAGGCCGAGGTGGGCAGATCATGAGGTCATGAGTTCGAGACCAGCCTGACCAATATGGTGAAACTCCATCTTACTAAAAATACAAAAAATAGCTGGGCATGGTGACATGTGCCTGTAATCCCAGCTACTCAGGAGGCTGAGGCAGGAGAATTGCTTGAACCCGGGAGGTGGAGGTTGCAGTGAACCGAGATCGCACCACTGCACTCCAGCCTGGGTGACAGAGCAAGACTCCATCTCAAAAGAAAAGGTAACACTTTCTTAAGAACACAGCATTCAGCTACAATAATGGAAAAATCAGGTACAGGTCTCAGGAAGTAGCAGTCTGTGTTCTAAACTGCTCAGACATGATTTAGAAGCCTGTGTTTCATATGTGCTTGCAAATGACTACTGACAAACTAGGAATTGTCTCAGAAGGAGGAGGGTGAGTTGGTCTGGGAGCTATGACATATAAGAAAGGGCAAAAGGCCAGATGCGGTGGCTCACACCTGTAATCCCACCACTTTGGGAAGCCAGTGAGGGAGAATCGCTCGAGCCTAGAAGTTTGAGACCAGTCTGGGCAACACGGTGAGAGCTTGTCTCTACAAAATTTTTTTTTAAGTTAGCCAGGTTGGGTGGTACGTGTCTGTAGTCCCAGCTACACTCAGGAGGCTGAGGTGGGAGGATTGCTTGAGCCTGGGAGGTTGAGGCTGCCGTGAGCCATGATCACACACTGCACTCCAGCCTGGGTGACAGAGGAAGGCCTTGTCTCCAAAATAAGAAAAAAGAAAAGAAAAAGGGCAAAAGGAGCTATCTGTGGACAAAGAAGGCCAAAGGAAGAAGCAGAAGCAGAATGATAGAAAAAGTCACAGTCCTGAGGGCTCATAGTCTAGCAGACCTCTAGCATCACACAGATCAGCATTAGTGACCTGGAGACTCACGGGTCATAACATCATGAGATTTTAGAGCTGGAAAGAACTTACAAAGTCTGGTCTATTCCCATTTTATAGATGAGAAAACTAAGGACAGAGATTTTAAGTGAATGACCTCACTTAAGTGAGGCACAAGGCTAGATGTCATACAACCAAGACTAGGATTCAGTTCCTTGATTTTTACTCCAAGTCCCTTCCATCCTAAGAGCACTCTCTCATAACATTCAAGGGTGCTGTGAGTAGCAAAGGAAGTTGACAATGCTCTGCCCTGATTCAAAAGGCAAGAGGAACACAACAATCAGTGATGAAATGTGATTTGCGGGTGGGAGGGTGCTGCGAGGAGGATTTATGGTTGGTCTAAGAGCTTCCTAACAATCGACTCTGGCCAGGCCTAAGATCAGCTGCCCTGGGAAGCAGCAAGCTCCCCATTCCCAAGAGGTCTTCAGAAAGAGGAGGGGATTCTGTTGAGAGGTGGGAGACTGGTCTCTACAAACAGCAAAATTCCATGATTCCCACATAGAGAATGCACCCCCCCCCGCGCACCCGCATACATGGTTGGAGGAAGGATAAAAGCACAATTAGAGGCAGGGTTGGTACGGGTGCTACTAAGAAAGGCAGCATGGGACAGTAGGAACAGGCGTTTTTTTCCTTGTGGTCACTTTTCTTCCAAGTTTAAGGGCTCTCGGCTCCTCACTGGAGGAAAAATTCTCAAGTCAGAACTGCAAACCAGGAACAAAGGTTGTTCTCATATTCAAGAACTCAGCAAGGGTAATTATGGTTGACACTAAAGCAGGCAAGATTCTAGTTGGGCACAATGAAGATCTCCTTGACCAGCAGAGTAATAGAACACTGTAACTGACTGCAGCAGGAAGTTTAGAGGCTCTGTCACTTCTCCAAGGACACACACAGCTTTCTGGCCTGCAGGCTCAGATGCTCAGCTGTCACCAGGCTGGGGAATCAACCAGATGGCCTTCCGGGTCTCAAGTCTGGCATTCCTAGACCTGCCCAGGAATCTTCTCAGCCGTACCAGCGTCCCCAGGGTCCAGGGGAAACCATCCGCCACGCTATAACCCCGAGGCTCGGCAGCATTTCTCCCCAGTTTGCATTTTGATGTTTCATATAACGTATCTACTCCCACCAGGGTACATCTCCCTCCCTCGGTAAAGATATCCTTAGCCACCAAACCCAAATGGCTCACTGGCTTCTCTCCAAGGCAAAAAGAGAGTTTCACTCCTCATCCTCTTTTTCTATCCAGTGAGACTAATTCATCATGTGTACTGGAAAGTCCCTTTTAAGTCTCAGCCAAAAGTCTTTCTTTTTTCTTGGAGCACAAATAAGCTGGGAAGAGAGAGAGAGAGTTCACCGTTTTGCAAGTTTCAGAGGTGAAAGTCACTGTCACACACACACACACAAAAAAACCAGAAAGAAAAGAAAAAAAACTGGCAAAAAGTCTGGAAATTATTCACACTGAGAAGTCTGACTGGTTGATTTCAAATTCATTCACAGCTTAATAAATCATTTGCTGGGGGAAGAGGGGAGCAGAGGAGGAGCAAGACACTCCAAAGAGAACAAGCAGGGTGGGATCCCTGGGGTCTGTGCATTCTTTGGCATCGCTGGTACCTGGTGGCTCTAGCTTTTGCTGAAGGAGGATGTATGTGGGGGTGAGTAAATAATAGAGTTTGGCTGGAGCTTCAAAGACACCTTGGCACAATCCAATTACACAGTCCCAGGATAGCAAGCCCGCTACCTCTCCCTTCCCCATTTCTTAGGCTTCCAATCTAAATATCTCAATTAGAAAAGGGCTGGCAGGAAGGAATGGGGAGAGGAAGGGAGTTTGTAGCAGGACTAGGAAAATGGAGATTGCCTGTGTTTGCTATGTATAGGCTGAAACGGTCCCATCGCTGCCTACCTACCCCCAGCCCCCCAACTCCGCCCTGGAAGCCACTGACCTTTGCCAAGAAGGCGGCGTTCCTGATGGCGCCCACCATTTCTCCCCCCTTAGGGTGCACCTTGGCCACGTGCATCCACATGCGCTCCCAGGTGTGGCTGTCGATGGGGAAGCCGCTCTTGTTGACGTGGAACAGCACCCCGCCGTCTTTGTCCTCCTCCTCTGAGCCCCCGCTGGTGGCGAGGCTCACGGGCCGCGCGTGGCTGCTCCGGGACCGGGTGCCTTTGGCGCCTTTGGGGTGGGGGCAGCGGTGAGTGTCGGCCGCGGAGCCGGTCATGGTGGGGCCTGGGCGGGGAGCGAGGTACTGGGGGCGCGCGGCGGCGGCAGCGGCGGCGGCGGCGGGGGGCGTGTGCGCGCGGGCGCGGCGAGGGGATCAGCGCCCCGCGGGGGCGGCCTTCTCCATGCCTCTCGCTGCGGCAGGACTCACCAAGGGGGAGCGGCGGCGGGAGCTCCGCGGAGGCTCCCTGCTTACCGGCGGTGCCTGAAATCAGCGGAGACACAGCTGACACCACAGCTAAGTGGACGCACAGCGGAACCGAGTGAGGGGTCCCGGAGTGTCTCCACGACACTCCCCGCTCCCCCCTGCACGCTGACAGCCTCCCTGAGAATCGATGACGGGCTTCCAGCCCTGCGATTACCTAGAAAGGCAGCTCAAAATGTGCCACGAAGCTTCACACACACCTAAACCCGGGGGGTTGGGGATGGAGGGGCACAAGGAGCTTGGGGGATGCGGAGCGCAAGATGTGGGGAGAAGAAAGACAGCTTGTGTAGCATGAAGGAACAGGAGGTTCCCGCAAGGCTCCACACATTCCTGGGTCCTCAGATGTGGCCAAGAGAGGAGGGGAGCCACGAACGTGCTGGCATGTGAGCGCCCAGAGCTGGCGCGAGGGCGCTGCAGCAGCCTTGGCTTGCAAGGCGGCCCGCTTTCTTCCAGGAAGCCCTCCCGGACCCCGGCGGGGATCTAGTGGAAAGAGCTCCATCCGCCCCCTTTTCCCCGAGTTCCAGCGCCTATCACCGGGAGGGACTGGCTGCAGGCGGGCGGCGCGCAGGAAGGGCGCGCGGCAGCTCCAAGATCCTACCTCGGGACGGTTGGCTTCATGGCTGCAGAGCCTCTCCGGGCGGCGGGAGAGCAGGGGCTGCTGCTGCTGCTGCTGGGCCTGGGGCTGGGGCTGGGGCTGCTGGGGCTTGCTGGGGCCGTCGCCTCATTCCATGTCCCATTCTCGAATGTTATTCTGTGACATATAACCAAGTCACCCGGGCAGCCGCCGATGTTCCGAATGCGTCTATTGGCCACCGCAACAAAGAGGGGCGGGTCCCGGGCTCGGGACTCTACAACCCCGGGCTCCGCGACGCTCTGATTGGCTCCAGGGGTTCTCTGGCGGGAGGGGACAGGAGTAGGGGGAGCCTGGCGGCCACGCGAAATCCGATCGCTGTGGTGTCCTGAGAGCCCCGCGGGCTGGAGCGTTTGGCCATGGGACTTAAGATCGAGTTTCCCCAGGGGTCGTGGCACTTCGAGGGTTTGCAACTGTGGAAGCAGAGGAGAAACAAAACCACCCGAGAAGTGACCCCGCGGAAGCAGAGGGTTTGGCATCAGAAGAGCATTCCCTGAGGGACGCTGGACACACTTACCTGCCTCTACCCGGGATGATGAGTTGTTCATCCTCTACCTGGGATGATGAGGGGCTGTTCATACCTATGCGTGAAATTAAATCTTTTTTAAATCCCGCATTTAAAAATTCCTCAAAATTAACAAGTGGGTGCAGCTTTGGATCCTCTGGTATTAGTCATGGTTAATAAAGTCCCTTTAAGCCCAAGTTGAGAGGAGACAATAAAACTCAAGAGGTCAGGCAGGCCCTGACTGTTCTGCCACAGCTGTTGAGTGAGAGGAGGGATGGAGAGATGCTTCCAAACCATGGTGAAGTGGGTGGCTATCCCACACTCACTACTGAAACACCTTCTCTTTCTTTTTCTTTAAGAAAGAGGAGAGCAGGTTGAGGTGGGAAGAGCACCAGACTGCTGACCTGAAGGCTGGCTCCTGGTCCAGGTTTGTCACTTTGCTCAGCTGTGTGACCCTGGACAAGCCACTTCCCTGCTCTGGGCCTTAGCTTCTCTTTCTGAAAGGAGAGCAGACCTCCCGCTCTCCAGGGTCTGTTCTGGCTGTAAGGTTCTGTGATTCCCTGACTTCCTCTCTTGTGACACTGAGGATCCTGGCCATAGCATCCTTTCTCTTTAAACTGCAGGCCAGCAGGCCAGCTCTGAGCAAAGCAGTTATGAGACCTATGCTAAGTGAACCTTGAATTAAGAAGACAGTTGTCAAAGTGCCACTGATGGCGGGTCAGTTTCTGGATGCTTATCCTGACAAGTTGCCTGTCATGGAACTGGAACTTCTCTTCCACAGGAGGGCAGAGACCCCTGAGGGGTAGTTGAGAGCCAGGGCTTGGGTGAGGAGACCTGGATTCTGGACTTAGCCCTGCACTGCTCCCTGAGACAGAGCCCATGCCAAGAACTTTATAGATTCAATAATGAGAATAGGGCAGACGTGGTGCCTCACACCTTTAAACCCAGCACTTTGGGAGAAAGAGGAGGAAGGATTACTTGAGGCCAGGAATTAGAGACTGGACCAACATAGCGAGACCTTGTCTCTACTAAATAAATATTTTGAAATTAGCCAGATGTGGTGGCACACACCTGTAGTCCCAGCTACTCAAAAGGCTGAAGTGGACATGTAGAATGAAACTGGATCCTCGTCTCTCACCTTACACAAAAATCAACTCCAGATGGATCAAAGACTTAAGTCTAAGACCTGAAACCATAAAAATTCTAGAAGATAACATGAGAAAAACACTTCTAGACATTAGCTCAGGCAAAGAAATCATGACTAAGACCTCAAAAGCAAATGTAACAAAAATGAAAATAAATAAATGAGACCTAATTAAACTAAAAAGGGTCTGCACAGCAAAAGAAATAATCAGCGGAGTAAACCGACAATCCACAGAGTGCGAGCAAATATTCACAAACTGTGCATCTGACAAAGGACCAGTATCCAGAATCTACAAGGAACCCAAACAGATCAGCCAGATAAAACCAATCCCATCAAAAAATTGGCAAAGGACATGAATAGACAATTTTCAAAAGAGGATATACAGTCAACAAACATATGAAAAAATGTTCAACATCACTAATTATCAGAGACATACAAATTAAACCACCATAAGATACCATCTTACTCTTGCGAGAATTGTCATAAAAGTCAAAAAATAATAGATTTTGATGTGGATGTGGCAAAAAGGGAACATGCATAAAACTGCTGGTGAGAATGTAAACTAGTACAACCACTATAGAAAACAGCAAGATTCCTTAAGGAACTAGAAGTAGAGCTAAAGCTACCATTCGATGCATCATTCCCATGGCAGGGTATCCACCCAAAGGAAAAGAAGTCATTATATGAAAAAGACACGTGCACATGCATGTTTATAGCAGCACAATTTGCAATTGCAAAAATATGGGACCAACCTAAGCGCCCATTAACTAATGAGTGGATAAAGAAAATGTAGTATATAGGCCGGGCGTGGTGGCTCATGTCTGTAATCCCAGCACTTTGGGAGGCCCAGGCAGGCGGATCGCGAGGTCAGGAGATCCGAGACCATCCTGACTAACATGATGAAACCCCGTCTCTACTAAAAATACACAAAATTAGCCGGGCATGGTGGTGGGCGCCTGTAGTCCCAGCCACTCGGGAGGCTGAGGCAGGAGAATGGCGTGAACCTGGGAGGCGGAGCTTGCAGTGAGCTGAGATGGCGCCACTGCACTCCAGCCTGGGCAACAGAGCAAGACTCTGTCTCAAAAAAAAAAAAAAAAGAAAGAAAGAAAATGTGGTATATATACACCATGGAATACTACTCAGTCATAAAAAGGAATGAAATAATGTCTTTTGCAGCAACTTGGATGAAGCTAGAGGCCATTATTCTAAGTGAAGTAACTCAGGAATGGAAATCCAAAAATCATATATTTTTATTTATAAGTGGGAGCTAAGCTATGAGGATGTAAAGAATGATATAATGGACTTTGGGAACTCAGTGGTGGGCCGGGAAGGGGAGGATGAGTGTGAGGGATAAAAGACTATATATTGGGCCTGGTGGGGTGGCTCATGCCTGTAATCCCAGCACTTTGGGAGGCTGAGGCGGGTAGATCCCCTGAGGTCAGGAGTTCGAGACCAGCCTGGCCAACATGATGAAACCCCATCTCTACTAAAAATACAAAAATTAGCTGGGCATGGTGGCACAGCACCTGTAATCCCAGCTACTCAGGAGGCTGAGGCATGAGAATCACTTGAACCCAGGAGGCGGAGGTTGCAGTGAGCTGAGATTGCACCACTGCACTCCAGCCTGGGTGATGGAGTGAGACTCTGTCTCAAAAACAAAACAAAAACAACAAAAAAAGGGCTACATATTGGGTACAATACACACTGCTCAGATGATAGGTGCACTAAATTCCCAGAAATCATCACTGAAGAACTTATCCATGTAACCAAAAACGATGTGTACCCCAAAAACTATTGAAATTAAAATTAAAATTTTTTTAAAGGCTGAGATGAGAGGATTGCTTGAGCCTAGGAGTTCAAGATTATAGTGGGCTATAATCACACCACTGCACTCCAGCCTGGTTGACAGAGTGAAACTCCATTTCTAAAAGTAAAACAAAAATAAATAATGAGAATAATACCTTAGGTTCATAGAGACAAAGGAAATGGGCCAATTCATGAAATTGTCTGACTCATTTGACTGCAAGAAGAACACCTGGAAAAAAAAGCAAGAAGTGAAAGAAAATTATCCCCTCAACCTATAATTGCCTCAGTTTTCATTTCCTGATTAAAAGAAAACATGTCTCAGAGAGTGATCTATTTTCTCATCTTGAACATTCTTCTTCCCTTCTTTTTGCATTCACCTCTCAAATCCACCCTTTTCTCCACATTTCCCGGGAGTTTCAAGTCCAGGAGACTAGAATTTCAGGATGAGGACCTGTATGCAGAGAATGAGGATTTGACCTGACAGTCCCTCTGGAGAAAACTGAGCTCTCAAAGCTCAGGTGAACAGACCAGTTGGTGAATATCGAAGAATGTCTGGCAAGGGTCACCTTCCTTGGAATCACTTCCCAGTGTCCCCACTCAGGTCAAGTCCGAGCTCCTACGATTACCCTGTTAAGCCAGAGCCTGCATCCTGCTTTACCTGAATTAAAGTCCCGGGGACCTGAGAGGGTTATCAGTTCATCTTCCTGCCTCCAGGCACCTCAGGACTCCCTGACAGTTGAGGAGAAGAGCTTTTGCTGTTCATCTCCAATATTCCAATTATCTTTTCTTCTCTTCCCCAGCAGTGGGATGGAGTGGAGAACCAAGTGGCATGGCACATGAGTATAGTTAGGAGATTTTGCTACTTCTCCAAAGAGCTGGTAAGGAAGCTTCTGAAGTGAATTGTGCTGTCTCAGCAAGGGCATTGTCAGGCAGAAGGGCTGTCTTATTCAGAATTCCTTCTCATTTGACAGTTGAACTAGGCTGCATGGGCCGGCCAACTTTGTTCTCCATTTCCTTGTGTATTTTGTGTTATATGACACTCCAGTGAACCCAGGCAAGTTAGATTAAGGATTTTGAATGTTCTGGTAGTTAGTAAGACTGACACAGCCACATATACACACTGCAAATTGGACAAGACCAATTTGCAGTTTGAGCAAGGACATGGTGGCTGGATGCTCAACCTCTGAGAGAAAGGCCACTTGTATTTGTTGGCATAACTACCGGTATAGCAGGGAAGCGTAGTGGAAAAGTTTGGAATGAGAAGAACTGGACTTAGATAATATCTCATTATTCAAATGCCAGCTGCTATCATGATGAGAAATAAGACAAAATCCTACCCTGATGGTTCATATTTCTAGCTCTACTAGTTATTAATGGTAAAATTTTGGGTAAGTTACTCAGCATCTATGAGCCTTAATTTCCTCATGAAGACGGTATGATACTACTCTAGAGGGATATTGTGAGGACAGAGAGGTAAGGTATGTAAAAACACATGCTAAATTCCTGGTACATGTAAGTTGGGCTTTCATCTGAATCTGAGACAGTGACACAAACAGATTTGGAGACATCTGTTCCCAGCACATTTCACTGCCTGGGAGTCAAGACTGAGAAATTACTGCAGCTGCCCAGGGAAAGGGATGTATATTTCAAACAAGCCATGGGTGTGTGGAGGGGAAAAGAAAAAGCTGAGAGGCATAGGAGTAGGCGGGCAGTGGCACACAGGAACAGGAAGAATTTGTTTCTGCCTCTATTGACAGCACAGAGGAAGATCTACCCAGTTATGGGTTGAATTGTGTGTCCCCATCCCCAAATTCGTATGTTCGTATGTTGAAGTTCCAACCCCTAGCACTTCACAATGTAACCTTATTCAAAAATAGAGTCTTTGCAAACATAATTAGTTAAGATGAGGTCATACCAGAGTAGTAAGACTGATATCCTTATAAAAGGGAAACTTGGATGCAGAGACAGACATGTGCACAGAGAGAACACCATGTGAAGATAGGAGTGTTGCTGCCACAAGCCAAGGAACTACCAGAATCCAGGAGAGAGGCCTGGAACAGACCCTTTCCTGCACCCTCAGAGGGATCCTGGCCTTGCCAATACCTTGCTCTCAGACTTCCAGCCTCCAGAAGTGTGGGATGATAAATTTCTGTTTAAGCCACTCAGTTTGTGGCACTTTGTTTTTTTGTTTGTTTGTTTTGAGACAGAGTTTCGCTCTGTCGCCCAGGCTGGAGGTGCAGTGGTGCAATCTCAGCTTACTGCAACCTCCGTCTCCTGGGTTCAAGTGATTCTCCTGCCTCAACCTCCCAATTAACTGGGATTACAGGCACCCACCATCACGCCCTGCTAATTTTTGTATTTTTAGTAGACATGGGGTTTCACCACATTGGCCAGGCTGGTCTCGAACTCCTGACATGAGGTGAACCACCCTCCTCAGCCTCCCAAAGTGCTGGGATTACAGGCATAAGCCACCGTGCCCAGACAGTTTGTGGCACTTTGTTTTAGTGGCCCTAGCAAACTAATACACCCCATATGAGGCTGATACCCACATGGGGCTGATGAAAGTTCAGCCCATGTGTTCGGGGCCTATGATCATCCTGATGAGGGATGTTACCACTGCACTGAACTAGTGAACTGACTTTTTCACTAAATATCAACACTAATATTCTGTAAATCATGAGATTTAGCAATCCTGCTGTGTTCTAGGACCACAGAAGAGAATGCCAAATGAGGAACTTAAGCGTCTTTCCTGGAGGTCTCAGAAAAATCAAATAGCTTCTTCATCTCTCACTTCCCTAAAGGATATTTTGCATATATTCCATGGTAGTATCTGAATCACATATATTGTCACCTATTCATAGGCACAGGCTGGAGTGCAGTGGCGCAATCTCAGCTCACTGCAGCCGTGACTTCCTGGGCTCAGGTGATCCTCCCACCACAGTATCTTGAGTAGCTGGGACCACAGGTGCACATCACTACATTCAGCTATTTTTTCTTTTTATTTTTTTTGTAGAGACAGGATGTATTCGTCCATTCTCACATTGCTATAAAGAACTGCCAGGCTGGGCGCGGTGGCTCATGCCTGTAATCCCAGCACTTTGGGAGGCCAAGGTGGGTGGATCACGATGTCAGGAATTCGAGACCAGCCTAACCAACATGGTGAAAGCCTGTGTCTACTAAAAATACAAAAATTAGCCGGGCATGGCGGAACGCACCTGTAATCCCAGCTACTCAGGAGGCTGAGGCAGGAGAATCACTTGAACTCGGGAGGCAGAGATTGCAGTGAGCTGAGATCGTGCCACTGCACTCCGGCCTGGGCAACAGAGCAAGACTCCATCACAAAACAACAACAAAAACAAACAAAAAAAGAACTGCCTGAGACTAGGTAATTTATAAAGAAAATAAATTTAATTGGCTCATGTTTCCACGGACTGTACAGGAAGCATGGCTGGGGAGGCCTCAAGAAACTTATAATCATGGTGGAAGGTGAAGGGGAAGCAGGCACATCCTACTTGTCTGGAGCAGGAGGAAGAGAGCAAAGGGAAAGGTGCTACACACTTCTAAACAACCAGATCTCATGAGAACTCATTATCACTAGAATAGCAAGGGGAAAATTCACCCCCATGACCCAATCACCTCCCACTAGGCCCCTCCTCCAACATTGGGGATTACAGTGCGACATGAGATTTGGGCAGGGACACAAATCCAAGCCATATCACGGGGTTTCACCATGTTACGCAAGCTGGTCTCAAACTCGGGCTTGAGAGATCCACTGGCCTCAGCCTCCCAAAGTGCTGAGATTACAGAAGTGAGCCACCATGCCTGGCCTGTTTTGTACCATTTCTAATTGGTTTGGATCTAGTTCTTGCCACAAAAAGAGCAAAACAAAAAGTAACACTTATCAAGTACTTTATGTCAAGCACAATCTAAGCACCTCACTTGCATTATGTCATTTAATGCTCACAAGAAATCTATGCTGTAAGTTTTAAACTGAAACTGGAAAAGGTTAAACAGTTGGCCCAAAGTCCAGCCAGCAAAGGAAAACCACAAAAATAACTTGTCCATTTCAGCCTCAGCTCTGAATAGAAAAAAAGCATAATAATAAAAAAGTTTCCTTCAAGAGTTTGTAACTATATTATCTGGCCTTGCAGTTAACTTATACTATCTGGATAGTTCAGGAAAACCCAAGCTGAAAAATTATGTTTAAATAGTGCCAGGCTGATAACGTCCTTAGGTGCCTGGAAACAGCAAATGAACATCTTCTCTGGATAAACACATCCTCAACCCAGGCCCACAGGTAATCCTAAAGACCTCAGGCAAACAGAAACCCATGTCTACAAATTACCAAGTCACAAGGAAGCAAGCCACCAAAATCAAGAGTCAGCATACACAACTAGAGTTAAATCTCTAAAGACTTCAGATACTAAAATTAGATGCAGGCTGGGCGTAGTAGTGGCTCACACCTGTAACCCCAGCAGTTTGGGAGGCCGAGGTGGGCGGATCACTTGAGGCCAGGAGTTTGAGACCAGCCTGGCCAACATGGCGAAACTCCGTCTCTATAAAAAAAGCACAAAAAATTAACTGGCCATGGTGGTACATGACTGTGGTCCCAGCTACTCAGGAGCCTGAGGTGGGAGGATTGCTTGAGCCTAGGAGTTCAAGGCTGTAGTGAGTAGAGATTGCAACACTGCACTCTGGCCTGGGCAACAGAGCGAGATTCTGTCAAAAAAAAAAAAAAAAAAGTCACTAGAACTTATCACTTACACCCTGAGAAACAGGCATTATGAAGTCTGCCCTGAGGATAGGGAAAGTTCCTTCCTTAGACCCTGATTCTGCTTTCTGGAAAGATTCTTTATCCTGTGTTATCGTAGCCCCTCACTCTGCTCTCTGGTTCTTCTATGGACACATCTGAAGTGGCTACATCCTTAGGGGGCTGCAGAGCTCTTACAGCCAATGCCATGGTGGTGTGAATTTAAGGACTTTAGGATTAATTTAAAGTTTAAATAGTCAAAGCCTTTTTCAAAGTTGCATTTGTGATTTCTTTGGCTATACAATTCCTTACAAATTTCGTAGCCTTCTAACCTATTTGCTTCTAGATAGTTCCATATGCCAACAAGCACATCCAAATTTCTCTTTTAAATAAAATTCCCAAACCTCATTAATTTCCTTGTTCCCATGCCTTTCTGTTTCACCTAATAATGGTTATTTTGAGGCCATCTGAAATAATAGGCTTGAATGAGAAGTCTAAACTTCCAATCCGATCTTTGCCATAGACTCAATCACTTTGTTTTTTTTTTTTAGAAAGTGTTAATTGGCGTTAGTCATTCAAAACTTTTATTAGTCTTACTTTGTATTTGGGGTCTAAAAGCAATTTTTTTCTAACACAAGAAAGCCCCAAATATCTGTGCTCAGTCCATTCTTTTCCATTTTTCATGTATTAGTCAATTCTTTCCAGGGATCATCTCTTTATCTAAAAACCTTACTAAACAAAGCAAAAGATAACCAACACATGCTAACACTCTGGCTCTTTCCAACAACTTCCTTTGAAGCAGCTGAATCAGTAGTAGGCACTTGATCAGATTTGCAATCAAGTCACTGCAAGTAACCATTTTACCAAGTGTTTTGTTACTACATAACCTAGGTTCCTATCTTCCCAGCCTATGATGTGTATTTCCTTGCCGTGTGCCAACAGATCACTGTGATAGGATCACATGTTTAGGATCCCACTTCTAGTACTGATAGGAAAGGCTAAACAGTAATGAGTTAAGCATGCAACATGAGAAGTTACAAAACAGCAACTGAATTAACTTAAAGAAAATAAAAAGGGAAATAATAAACAAAAGAACAGGTATAAATTAAAAAAAAAAGAAAGAAAGTTATGGGAGACAGGATCAGCAAAACCAAAAGTTGATTTTTTTAAAAAACTAATGAGCTAAAAAAAAACCTCTGATAAGACAAATAAGAAACAAGAGGAATGACTTAAGCAATAATAGAAACAAATGAAGTTGGAAGAGAAATTATAGATATGACAGGTTAAAAAGATAATAGAATACTGCGAAAACATTATGCCAATGAATTTGAAAACAAAGTCAACAACTTAAATTTCTTTCTGCCTGCTACATCTCTACTGAAAGTAAAACAATAACAAAAATTAGCCGGGCATGGTGGCATGGGCCTATAGTCCCAGCTACTCGGGAGGCTGAGGTGGGAGAGTCATATGAGCCCAGGAAGTCAAGGCTGCAGTGAGCTGTGATTGTATCACTGTACTCCAGCCTGGGCAACAGGAGTGAGACCCTGTCTCAAAAAACAAACAAACAAACAGAAAACAATTTTAATTTTTTTTTTAATTGGAGTTTTTGTCCCTCAGGCTGGAGTGCAATGGTGCGATCTTAGCTGACTGCAACCTCTGCCTCCTGGGTTCTAGCAATTCTCCTGCCTCAGCCTCTCGAGTAACTGGTATTACAGGCACCCGTGACCACATCCAGCTAATTTTTGTATTTTTAGTAGAGATGGGGTTTCACCATATTGGTCAGGCTGGTCTAGAACTCCTGACCTCGGATGATCCACCCATCTCAGTCTCCCAAAGTGCTGGGATTACAGGAGTAAGCCACCATACCCGGCTAACAATTTAAATTTCTAAGGAAACATATTTTCAAAACTGACTTGAGAAAAAATAGAAAACCTTAGTAGTCCTACAACTGTTAAAATTTACCCTCCAAAAAAATCACCTGACCCAGAGAGTTTTACTTGAGTCACATCAAATATTGAAGAAACAAATCCTCTATGAAATCTTTGAGAAAACAGAAAAAGAACCATTCCCCCATTAATTGTATTAAGCTGGTAAAATCTTGGTATAAGACAAAGAAAGTACAAGATAGGAACATTACTGATAATCTTACTTTTGAACATAAGTGAAAATATCCTAAACAAAATATCCACAAATGGAATCCAGCAATGTATAAAAGCTATCATGCCTCACAACCAAGTTGAAGCTGGATTCCTACCTCCTGCTATATAAGAAAATTAATTCCACATGAGTTTGTCAGTCATAGCTTCATCACTATGAGCCTTATGGTGTTGTGCCATAGTAAGTATACAATAGCACCTATGAAGTGTTCTTGCCTTAAAAAAACACAATTGAACCCGTAATTAAGTGTCTGGATCTAAAGAACAACTTTTAGGAATAAAAGGGATATCTGAGGAGGGTGAATTACTTGACGCCAGGAGTCTGAGACCAGTATGGTCAACATGGTGAAACCCCAACTCTACAAAAAAATACAAAAAAAAAAAAAATTTTAAGTGGGGATTGAAGAAACAGTTGAGTGACACCAGAAGGAAACAATCAGTCAAATTCAGAATGTGAGACAAATGTTACACTGTCTCTAACAAATTAATGGCAAACTGATGGCAATGGGGAAAAAAAAGTGTGGGATGGGGTGGTGAATTACCCAAATAGAACTGAAAAGATTTAAGATACATAGCAATCAAATGCAATGTGTGGACTTTGCTTCAATTCTATTTCAAATAAACAGCTATAAAACCAAAACCAACCAAAATAAAACAAACTCGTATGAGAGAATTAAGGAAATCTGAATATAGACTAAGCATTATATAATGTTACAAAACTATTGATAATTTGTTAGCTTTATCAGTGACGTGGTTATGTAAAATCTCAGAAACACATAATGAATATTTATGGATGAAATGACACAATGTTTAGGACTTGCTTTACAATGTTGCAGTAAAAAAACAGTTGGTAAAATGCTCATAATTGTTGAAACTAAAAGATGGGTACACAGAGTCAGTAAATGATTTTCTCAATGTTTATGAATGTTTGACATTTTCCATATAAAACAAAGACAATGTGTGTATTAATAGCTTATTAATAAATGTATCAGACACATCCCATGTGCTGCCTCAGATTCCCTAGGTCTAGCTTTTCTCCTTGCTCCACAGCTACCTCCATGGCCAACTAGATCTGTGCATTCAGCCATCTGCGACTGACTAGTCACTTGCCCAGAAGTGCTCAGCTCTCCATTTGGCTGCTGCTGCACAATAAGGCTGGCCAGCCACCTGTCTGGAGTCTCTGGTCCTCTACCACTTCTGGACTCAGATGAAACGCCACACTGTAGGATGTGGCATCTGGCTTCCGAGCAGCCAGAGGGGCTGGATGATGCAACCTAGGGAATTAATTCCCTATGGGGAGCATATTGACCAATGAGAAACAAGATGGGAGGGAGGCCGGGCGCGGTGGCTCAGGCCTATAATCCCAGCACTTTAGGAGCCTGAGGCAGGTGGATCATTTTGAGGCCAGGAGTTTGAGACCAGCCTGGCCAACATGGTGAAACACCATCTCTACTAAAAATACAAGAAATTAGCCCGTTGTGGTGGTACACCCCTGTAATCCCAGCTACTCAGGAGGCTGAGGCATAAGAATTGCTTGAACCCAGCAGGCGGAGGTTGCAGTGAGCCAAGATTGCCCCACTGCACTCCAGCCTCAGGAACGGAGTGAGACTCTGTCTCAAAAAAATAAAATTAAAATTAAATTAAATAAAAATAAAAACCAACAAACCAGGATGGGAGGGAGCTGGTCAGATAAATTCCTTTTCTTCCCTCCTATGAACTGTTCTGAGTTGTGGTTTTCCAAAATAGCCTGTCCAGAGATGTCCTGTATGGCTGAGCAGACATACCTACTAAGTAACCTGCCATGGCTCTTTGCCTCTGGTCATGAAGCAGTTGCCTATATGATAACATGCCACCTTGCATTGCTTCTCATCCTAGCCAATGTCATTTCCCTTTTTACTCACTCTGTCTGCCTTCCCAATCAGCATTTAATCTTTGTTTCAGATTCTGTTTTCTAGAGAAAATAAGTTAAGACAACTGGGTCCACAAGTAGTTCTAGAAAGCAAATCCTCAAGATAAATTTTGGGTTTGTATAGCTCACCTTCCTGAAATCAATAGAGACCTCTCTAAGGCAGATGGTGATAACCCTGATATGCAATAGCACCATAGCTTTCACTTGGGTTTAATTGGGGTAAACTGTATGGAGAGCAAGACATTGGAAGATCAAGTGGCTGTGATAATCAGCTCAGAAACAATGATAATTATAAGGCACTGGAGATCTTGGAAACAAAAAATAGCCTCAGAGCCAAGTCATACAATGCTTTAAAGCCAGAAAGCCTCTATGGAAACTTTAAGAGAAAGTCTTATTTCCTGTATTCATAGGATAGGCTCTTAAAATCAAGCCCAAGATCAAAGGGTAGCAGAATGGCAAAGGAAACTAAACGCATGCCCTTGACAGCCTGCCATGTCAAAGTGAGAGCCCAGATAGGAAAAGACTGGGACAATAAGACCTGGGATAGGGATATAAGAGTGGATGAGCATCTTGACCATTCAAATGCCCTGAAGTCTCCTGCCCAAAGAAGACCCACTTCCTCATGATTTGTTCTCCTCAAGACCTGGCCCCACCCCTTATTGCCTCCAACAATACCAGAGTCAGGTTATAGCACAGCCCATACTGGGAAGAAAATGCCCTGCTCCAGGGGGAAAAAACATATTTGCCAAAGATATTGCAGAGCTTGGCTAATGTGGACTGGCAGGAATTGTGGAAACGTGTGTGGACTCGACTGGGTGTCAGCTTGACTTGGGTTAAGGGTTATCCAGATAGGTGGTAAAGCATTATTTCTGGGTATTTTTGTGAGTTGTTTCCAGAAGAGATTTGACTTTCTTACTCCCTGGACTGAGTAAGGAAGATCTGCCCTCACCCAATATGGGCAAGCATCACTCAATCCATTGAGGGCCCTCATAGAACAAAAAGGCAAAGCAAGTGCAAATTCTCTCTCTCTCTCTTCATGAGCTGGGGCATCCATATTCTCCTGCCCCCAGACATCAGAACTCCATGTTCTTTGGCCTACAGACTTTGAGGCTTCTACCCAAGCTGCCCCCACCCCCTCTTCTCAGGCCTTTGGGCCCTGGAGTGAGAGTTACACCATCAGCCACCCTGGCTCTCGGGCCTTTGGACTCAGACTGAATTACACCACCAGTTTCCCTAGTTTCTCCAGCTTGCAGACAGCAGATTGTGGGACTTCTCAGCTTTCATAATTGCCTGAGCCAATTCCCATAATAATTCCCTTATATATCAGTGTAGATATCCTACCAGTTCTGTCTCTCTGGAGAACCCTGGCTAATACACACATACAGAACGTGAGAATTAACGTTCAGCGGGGAAGGCTGGAGCTTGTCCTAGTTGTTTTCTGGGATGGCTCTTGAAAGCCTGGTCTCAGCAATGGCCTACAATAAGCAAAGTGGAGAAGCCAGATTTCCTTATGTATTATTGAGGAAGGAGTCAGAAGACTCAGGGAGGTGGGAGTATTTGAAGTGTTTCCCAGGTATGGCTCAAGAACCCACCACCTGCCTGGTTCCCTGGGCTGGCCCAGAGGACACTCCCTGCTAAGCCAATAGAGAATACACTATTGGCCAAGTACGGTAGCTCACACCTGTAATCCCAGCACTTTGGGAGGCAGAGGTGGGTAGATCACCTGAGGTCAGGGGTTCAAGACAAGCCTGGCCAACATGGCAAAAACCTGTCTCTACCGAAAATATAAAAATTAGCTAGGTGTGGTGGCACACTCCTGTAATCCCAGCTACTCAAGAGACCAAGGCAGGAGAATTGCTTGAACTCAGGAGACAGAGGTTGCAGTGAACCGAGATCATGCCACATTACACTCCAGCCTGGGCGACAGAGCGAGATTCCATCTCAAAAGAAAAAAAAAAAGAATGCACTATTGAGGAGGCTTTTGGAGGCGTTGGGTTGGGTTGTACTTGCTCTCCTTGTAGTCCAGAGTTGTTGGTAAGGAAAAGACTGCTATGAAACTGGGTTTCCTATTGTTAGTGGAGATGATAAAAATCCCAGAATTGCAGGGGCCAGGTGGGAGCACTTCACCATAAAGGACAAGGCAGCCATACTTACCACAACAGACAGCAAGGTAGAGGGGCAATCAGGATGACCTTCTCTGCAGGGACTCATGGTGCTCGGCTAACATAGCATGGTGTTCCTAGGGGAAGGGTAACCACAGAATTTATTCTCCAAATTTGGTCACTGTTGAGAGCAAAAAGGAATGCTAGTCATGATTACACAGGAACAATGGGTAAATACCAGTGGGTGTAAACCAGGACCATCCCAATCAAACTGACACCTATGGTCACCCTACCAAGGGGTGAGGTAGAAACAGAAGGGGTAAGATATAAACACATATGTTAATATAAACATAATACATGGGTTTGCCTTTCCTGCCAGAGACTTCAGAAGTACCACCATCTGAGAGCTCATAGACACCTTATCCATTGACATATTAACCCATGTAACACTTCCTCCAAACAGGAGAGCTATTTTATGGTGAAAGAGGGAATGAAAATGGGCTGATGACCGTGGTCTACTGGCCTTACCATGTACCACACATGCAAGAGCAGCTGACCTGATAATATCGTGGAAAAGCCTGCTGAGACTCAGATAAGGCAAAGCGAGGCGACAACATCTCACAGGGTTGTGGCACAGTCCTCCAGGTTATTATACACTTTGAAATAAAGACCAATATATGGTACTAATCTGTAATGGCTAGAAAGAATGAATCCAGAAACCAAGGGATGGAAGTAGAAGTGGCCCCTTTCACTATTATACCCAGTGATACATTTGAGGAATTTTTGCTTTTTGTTTCCGGAACTTTGGACTCTGTTGTGTTAGAAGTTCTGGTTTCCCAGGAGATATCTCTGTGAGGGCACACACTGAGGTTCCACTGACCTGGAATCTGTAACTACTTACCTGGCTGCCTTAAGCACCGCAAGTCGGTGGGCAAAGAAAGGAGTTAAAGTACAATAATTATAATAATTGGCCAGGTGTGGAGACTCATGAATGAGCCTGTAATCCCAGCACTTTGGGAAGCCAAGATGGGAGGATTGCTTGAGCCCAGGAGTTCAAGACCAGCCTGGGAAATATAGTGAGACCCTGTTTCTACAGAAACATTAAAAAATTAGCTGGGCATGGTGGTGCACACCTATAGTCTTAGCCATTCAAGAGGCTGAGGCAGGAGGATCGCTTGAGAACAGGAGTGCAAGGCTTCAGGGAGCCATGATCATGCCACTGCACTCCAACCCAGGCAACAGACCAAGACCCTGTCTCCAAAAAAATTATAAAACCTTTAGCAGCCTGGATTATTCCTCTTGGATTGCAGGAAATCCAGGGGATTCACTGAGATACCTCCTAGTTGTTCCACTCCTGGTAAAGCAATTATAACTCAATAAGGGCTATTCAACTAAGAGCTTCAGATCCCCATCTCCTCCCCTAGATACGAAGATCATCCAATCAGGCAACCAATCTAGATGAATCAGCTGAAGTGTTGGACAAGAAGGAAGTCTAGCATGGGTGGTGGAGAAGGGAGATGATGAATATCAATTATAGCCTTAGGACCAGTAACAGTAGCTTGAATCAAGCCTTCTGTAGCTTGATGCATCTGTCTCTTCCATTAGGCCTTCCAGAAAATTGCAACTGCCCACAACCTTAAAGGGAACTTTATAAATAAATGGATTTGTATTTCCTCTCTTAGAAAAGAGGTAAAGAGTTTTTATTCTATTTTATTTTATTTTAAGGAATGGCAGCTCTATATTCTAATGTGGGAGCCATCTATAATGGAAAGGCATGCCTTCTACTCTGGGGCAGTGATTTATTTTTACCAGAATCAATATGCATAGCATATATGGGTTTGCTTTAATTGTCTACAGGGCTTCAACCAGCACCACCATCTAAAGCTTACAGAAGGTCCTATCCATTGGCATGTTACACCACACAACTTTTCTGATTGGTGAACGGGTAAGCTGTATTGGATATGTCTTCTGACATCTTCTCAGATTTCCTTGGCCTTGACTGCTGCTGTAGCCAACCAGCTCCACCCAGTCCCACTGCCCAGGCCCTTCTCTCTGGCTGCTGTTGTATAACCAGAGTGACTAGCTGGTGGATGTACTCTCTGGCTCCTCCTGCCACTTCCACACTTGGATAAAATACTATGCAACAGGATATGTAATCTGGCTTCTGAATGGCCACCAAAGTGTCTGAGTGTTGTCACCCAGAAGCATAAGGGTTAACTCCCTGTGGAGCAACCATTGGGAAACAGGAGATGGGAGGTTTATGAGGATAATTCCCTCACCTACCTCCATTGGTGGATTTCTCTTAGGCAGGGTTTCTCCATACAGCCTGTCCAAACACTTGCCACATGGTCAAGTGTGCACAACTGCCAAGCAACCTGCAGTGTCTTTTGAGGCTCATTATAAAGAAGAGGCCAGAATAGAAACCCACCACCATGCATGCTTCCAGTTTTCCTTGCCTCAGTTCTCTTTTTTCCTACTCTTGTTATTCTGAGTTAACACCCCCCAAATAAAGCATCAGCACTTAATCCTTGCTTCAGGCTCTATTTTTAGGGCAGTGTTTCTCAAATTTTGCATCCCCTAGGGGGCTCATTAAAATGCAGATTCTGATTCAGTGAGTCTGGGGTGAGGCCTATGCATCTACATTTCTAATAACTCTCCCAGATGCTGCTAGTTGAGGACCCCACTTTGAGAAGCAAGTTTTAGGGAACCTTGGTTAAGACATAGCCTTAAGAAAAAAAGTTGAAGGCTAGGGGGGCTCATGCCTGTAATCCCAGCACTTTGGGAGGCCAAGGCAGGTGGATCACCTGAGGCCAGGAGTTTGAGACCAGCTTGACCAACATGGTGAAACCCCATCTCTACTAAAAATACAAAATTACCCAGGCATGGTGGTGCATTCCCATAATCACAGCTACCTGGGAGGCTGAGGCAGGAGATTCACTTGAACCCAGGAGGCGGAGATTGCAGTGAGCCAAGATTGCACCATTGCACTCAGCCTGGGCAACGAGAGCAAAACTCCATCTCAAAAAAAAAAAAAAAAAAAGAAAGAAAGTTTTAAAATTATAGGTGAGTTAATTATTTAAATGAAAAACAAAGCTGGGTGTGGTGGTTCATGCCTATAATTCCAACACTTTGGGAAGCCAAGGCAAGCACATTGCTTGAGCCCAGGAGTTTGAGACCAGCCTGGGCAACATGGTGAAACACTGTCTCTACAAAAAAACATACAAAAATTAGCTGGGCGTGGTGGTGCATGTCTGTAGTCCCAGTTACTCGGGAGGCTGAGGTGGGAGGATCATCTGAGCCTGGGGAGGTTGAGGCTACAGTGAGCTGTGATGGTGCCACTGCACTCTAGCCTGGGTGACAGAGTGAGACCCTGTCTCAACGAAAAAAATAATAACAATAAACTAAAGAAAAACAAATGTAAAATTTTTAGAGGAAAATGACCCATGATCAGAAAAAATTATGGGGCAGAATTCTTCATAATAAGTATCAAAGCTGACTCTGTTTGCCCACGTAGGAAAAAAAAATATTTATTAAAGAATGCTGAGTAGCTCACAGAATTTCTGGTAGGACTAGAGAACTATGCTTTAGGCTAAGCTTCCAAGGTCAATATCCAAAACCACATTTCAGCACTGGACTGATGAGGAATTTCTGTTACCACCTTTGATTCTAGACCACACAACTTGCATTGCCTCCAAATTGACTTTGCTGGAGTGGCCCTTGCTGCCACCTCCAATGCCATTTCTGTATAGAGCTCCACCTAACACACTCAGTGGACTCTGAATTCCAGACTTTTCAGCCATCGGCCATTCTCACCAGATAAATAGATGTTTAGGGCAGAGCCTGTTTCCTCCCATTGCTTTGTTGTGGACCAGCATCCCACACAGGTGAAGTTAACTGGTGGAACCCAGGTAACTTATTTGTGCCCTACCTACAAAGAAGACTGGGAAGGGAGTTTTTTAGATTTTATCTTAGGGAAAAAAGACTCACATGGTGGGAAATTCCACAGACATAAAAAGAGTGTGTTCAAAAGAGGCTGCATCCCGTTACGGGGTTTTTATATGAAAAAAATACATTTAAAAAAAGAGGTTGCATAATTCTGAGACTATTCGAGATGTCTTATAGGATTGAACAAATAAATAAATATATTGATATTGTTGGGAGACAGTGTTCTCACTATGGAAGAAGAGATATACAAATATGGAATGAGGGGAAACAAAAAAAACAAAACCCTGTGGCTCTGAGTCAAGCAGCGGAAACAAATTTTTAAAGGAATTTAAAATTTAGAAAAAAAGAAACCCTGTAGGATGAATTGGAGTTGTAGGTATTGATAAGAACTCATTTCTAAAATATGTATATATGCATGTATTTATCTACATATTTATGCATGTTTGTATGTATTATATATGTACATTTACTAGTGCCATATGCTGAAACAGCCAAGAAGCAAAGATGCTCTAGTAGCAATGAGCAAGCCTGGAACCCATACTTTGGTTTTTAAATACCATTCCCCAGCTGTCAAAAAACAAAACAAAACCCAGGGCTCCTTGGTGAAATGGTCATTTCGAGGGCCAGGCGCAGTCTCACGCCTCTAATCCCAGCACTTTGAGAGGCCAAGGCAGGCAGATCACAAGGTCAGAAGTTTGAGACCAGCCTGGCCAACATAGTGAAACCCCATTTCTACTAAAAATCCAAAAATTAGCCGGGCATGGTGGTGGGCGCCTGTAGTCACAGCCACTCGAGAGTCTGAGGCAGGAGAATTGCTTGAACCCGGGAGGTGAAGGTTGCAGTGAGCCGAAATTGTGCCACTGCACTCCAGCCTGGCGACAGAGTGAGACTGCATCTCAAGAAAAAAAAAAAAAAGAAATGGCCAGTTCCATGGCTGGTGCAGGGTAAATACAAGATGAACCCAGATTGCCTTTGTATTAGGGCTCTCCAGAGAAAAAGAACCAACAGGTTATGTAGAGATAATATTAGAGGCTATTTATTATAAGAATTGGCTCACATGGTTATGGAGGTCAAGAAGTCCCATGCTCTGTTGTGCTCTGTTGTCTGCAAGCTGGCAAACAGGTAAAGCAAGTGGTATAATTCAGCCCGAGTCGGAAGGCCTGAGAATTGCGGAGCTGATAGTCTAAGTCCCTGTCTGAGTCCAAAAGTCCAGGAACCAGGAGCACTGACATCCAAGGGCAGGAAACAATGAATGACTCAGCTCAAACAGAGACAGAAGATTCACCTTCCCTCTAACTTTTGGTTTCACTCAGGCCCTCGGAGGATTGGATGATGCTACCCACATTGAAAAGGGCCAGGTGCTTTATTCAGTTCACTGATTCAAATGATAGTATTTTCCAGCAATAACTTCATGGACATACGCAGAAATAATATTTTATCAGCTATCTGGTCATCACTTATCCCAGTCAAATTGACACCCAAAATTAACTATCACAATCTTATTCTGTCAGAAATTAGCTGCTTAAAAAATAATAAGGGCATTTCACAAAGGCAGAAGGACAAAGAGTTAGCTTCCACTGCTCAAATCTGGGACACTTTCAGTACAAAATAACAACAGTAATGAATTACAAATCATTGGGAAAAAAATAGGAATTCATAAGTCCATATTGGTTATAAATGGATAAATAAATAAATTGGGAAAAAGGGAAGATCCTTGTGTAGAGTACAATGCCAGTGTGGAGAGAGTGCAGTGGTGCGATCTCGGCTCACTGCAAGCTCCGCCTCCTGGGTTCACGCCATTCTCCTGCCTCAGCCTCCCGAGTAGCTGGGACTACAGGTACCCGCCACCACACCCAGCTAAGTTTTTGTATTTTTAGTAGAGACGGGGTTTCACCGTATTAGCCAGGATGGTCTTGATCTCCTGACCTCGTGATCCACCCACCTCGGCCTCCCAAAGTGCTGGGATTACAGGTATGAGCCACCGCGTCCAGCCCAAAACTGCATATTTTAAAACTGTCACTGCAATAAAAGACAAAAGCTGTAGAAATGTTTCAAACTGAAGAAGACTGAAGAGAGATAACTGAATGTAATAGATAACCATAGACTGGATCCTGACCTGCAGGAAAAAATATAAATGATATTATTTGATCAATTGACAAAAATTGAAATATACATATTAGATTAGATTAAAAGTATTGTATCCATGTTAACTAATAACTATCCATTTATTAACGACATTGGTGATATAAGAGAATATTCTTAGTCGTAGGAAATACACACTGAAATATATAGAGAAAAAGGGGCATGATATTTGCAACTGGGTAAAGGGTATATGGGTGTTCTTTGTACTATTCTTATTCTTGCCTCTTTTCTGTAAGTTTTAAATTATTTCTGAAAAGGTTTTTTTGTTTTTGTGTTTTTTTTGAGACAGAGTCTCTCTCTGTCACCAGGCTAGAGTGTAGTGGTGCGATCTCGGCTCACTGCAACCTCTGACTCCCTGGTTCAGGCGATTATCCTGCCTCAGCCTCCCAAATAGCTGGGATTACAGGCACACGCCACCACACCCAGCTGATTTTTTGTATTTTTAGTAGAGACGGGGTTTCACCATGTTGGCCAGGATGGTCTCGATCTCCTGACCTCGTGATCCGCCCGCCTCAGCCTCCCAAAGTACCGGGATTACATTCTTGAACCACGGTGCCCGGCCTTCTGAATGAAAAGTTTTAAAGTATGGGGACTGAAAATACATAATAAATATCCACTATAATAACCTCGTGAGATACATATTATTATTTCTGTTTTACAAAAGAAGAAACTGAGGTTTAAAAAGTTAGGTAACTTGCATGGTAATGTAACTAGTAAGTGTCAGAACTGGGAATTAGACCTAGATCATTTCAATATAATTATTTCCTTTTTCCTTTTCTTTCTTTTCCTTTTTAATAGCAGGAAGAACATAGATTTAAGTGGTAATAACAGACACTTCCCAGATGTCCTGATGATCAAAGACTTTGTACTGCCCTGTTACTTCAAACTTTTGCCTCCAAGGGAAGTGGCTGGAATTTCAGATTCATCTACATCTCTGACCTATCTCTTGGAGGGGGGGATGACAGAGGAGGGGGAAAATGGCAGAGAATAAGAAACTAAATGACCACGGCCAGGGGAAAGAGCCAAATTAGCATCTGAATAATCCACTGGAGAGCCTCGGGCCTGGATAATGGTCCTTCCTGCAGGTTTAGGGTTCTAGGGTGCTTTGAGGACATTTGGCGAGAGGGAGCAGAAATTTAAGCCTTTCTTGGATGACAGCTCCTCTTTGTCCAGAGAAGAGGATCATCTGCTGTAAAAGAACTGCATTCTCTTACAATGGCAGCCTTCAGGGAGAAACCTGCTGTCACCTTTTTAACAGTGCAGCCGCAGGCTCTGTGCCTGGCCTTCCTAGGAAAGCAGCCATCCTGCAGCTGCTCGGCCCTGGCCTCTGCGGGGGTTTCCTGGACAGATTTATACAGAGGGGAGCTGTTGCTCAGATGCCTTGGGACAGCAGGGGTGGTGTGTGGAAGTTCCCCTTTGGGCTCCCTGGCACTTCAGAAAGACAAAAATGAAATGAGCTTAGTAAGATAGCATCTTTATTCCAACGGAAATGAGAACACACTGCTACAGGCCTGTCCAGTCAGATGAGCAAGACCTCAAGCAGTTAAGCTGGGGGCATGGCATTGGGATTGTACAGGAGCCAGGCTGGGGAGTTTCCAAAGGTCCAGGAACCTGCGTGCTGTGAAGGGAGCTATACCTGCTCATCTCAGCTCAGCCTGGAATGTCCTGGGCAAGGCAGGTAGCAGTCCCTACCTATTTAGTGAATGCCGGAGGATTTGTATTATGAATAGTCAGCAAAATTAGAGTCGGAAACTCTTGCCTGAGCACAATGGGTGCATCCCCTTCATGTCCAGCCACTGGACAGCATTATCTGAATTCAGACTTCTCCACTATTCCCCAGAAAACTATATACAGCTCAGATTCCTCCTGTATCAGTCAGGAGGCAAGCAGGGTGCAGGTGGAACTCTGAAAAGGGTGTAAGTGAAATAAACTTGTGAAGGGAATGTTAACAGAGGTATAGGCAGGATGAAGGGAAACACCAAGGATGGTGAAGCATCCAGGACTGGAAACATCTGGAAAGCTCTCCCACTGAGGCCTGGAGGAGCCAGCAAGGTCAGGAGCCCCAGGAGCCCAGCCCCCTGAGGGCAGCCTCCCGTGCACAGAGCAGGGAAGAAAGTGGATTTGGGGAACAGACAGAGACTACCTCATGCATCCCCAATCTTCAGGACACTGGCACATACCCCATGCCTTCTGGGGGTGTTTCACTCAGAGATAAAAGGGAAAAACAGATCAGACGTCACAGAACCAAATAATACGTGAGGGAAAACAAGACATTGGTGCGTTCAGACTGTCAACGCCAGCACATTCAGAGGCTGAATCCACTCCTGGATGTACTACTGGATTGAGACCAGGAGCCCACGGCTCTATAGGAAGGGGGTCCAACCTTCTTTCTTGATCCTCCCTGAGCATCCGATTTGAGGAATGGGTTCAGCATTAGAAGTGTGCCAACAGACTGGGCACAGTGGCTCACGCCTGTAATCCCAGCACTTTGGGAGGCCAAAGGCGGGCGGATTACTTGAGGTCAGGAGTTCGAGACCAGCTTGGCCAACATGGTGAAACGCTGTCTCTACTAAAAATACAAAAATTAGCCCGGTGTGGTGGCAGGCACCTGTAATCCCAGCTACTCGGGAGGCTGAGGTGGGAGGATCACATGAGTCCAGGAGGTATAGGTTACAGTGAGCTGAGATGGTGCCACTGCACTCCAGTCTGGGTGACAGAGGGAGAATCTGTCTAAAAAGAAGGAAACGTGCCAACAGGTCTTCCTTAATCATAACACTTTCCTAGGCCTCATGAAAGATGGCAGCTATTTGGGGAGCAGAGTGAGTGCCCAGGACAAATACATGTTTTGACAGAAAAGGTGCTGCAAAAAGCTCAGGAGGAAACCCTTCCCCTCGATATGACCAGTATGTATTATTGCTGAGATTCACCAAGAACGTACTGCATGCCAGACATTGTTCCCCGTGCTTCTCACGGACTCACTCCATCTTCACACAGCCTCCCTAGGAAAGGGGTGCTGTTGTGTGTCCTCCCCTACCCCACATTCATGCGTTGAAGCATTAACCCCCAGAGCAACTATATTTGGAGGTGGACCCTCTAGGGTTGTAATTACGGTTAAGTGAGGTCATAAGGGTGGAGCCCTGATCCAATAGGATTAGCGTCCTTATAAGAAGAGACACCACAAAGCACTTTCTCTCTCTCCTCTAACTGTGCCTCTCTTTCTATCTCTCCCTCACACTCTGTCTCTCCACACACACACCATGTGAGGACATAGTGAGAAGGTGGCCATCTACGAGCCCGGAAGAGAGCCCCCACCAGAAGCCAAACTTGCCAACACCTTGATCGTGGATTTCTGGCCTCCAGAACTGCGAGAAAGTAAATGTCTGTTGTTTAAACCACTCAGTCTGTGGCACTTTGTTATGGCAGCCTAATACAAGCACTATCAATATTCCTCATTTATTAACGAAGAAATTGCATCATAGGGAAGCTAAGTATGATGCATCATAGGGAAGCTAAGTCAAACTCACCCATTTGCCTTAGATTTTGGTCTCTGCATCTCTCAGGGTCCTGCTTTTCTTACAGGAAATGGGTTGGTAGAAATAGATCAGGGGTCGTAGCCTCAGATGTCAACTGGGAGGCAACAGATAACAGAAACAAGCGAAGTTGTCTGCACAGGGGTGTGGCAAACTGGAGAGGGCAGTCCCCCTTAGAAAGAGACAGCCTCCAGCCAGGCGCCGTGGCACACGTCTGTAATCCCAGCACTTTAGGAGGCTGAGGTGGGCAGGTCAACTTGAGGCCAGGAGTTAGAGACCAGCCTGGCCAACAGTGAAATCCTGTCTCTACTAAAAATATAAAAAATTAGGCTGGGCATGGTGGCGCACACCTGTAGTCCCAGCTACTCAGGAGGCTGAGACACGAGAATCACTTGAGCCTGGGAAGTGGAGGTTGTAGTGAGCCGAGATCATGCCACTGCACTCCAGCCTGGGTGACAGAGTGAGACCCTGTCTCAAAAAAAAAAAAAAAAAAAAAAAAAAAAAAGAGATGCAGCCTCTAGTCAGCGTCAACCAATCGCTGGCCAAGTGCCTCATGTTCTCAGAGCTACACTTTTTCAAGACATCTGGATCTTTTTAGGAAGTATTTAGGTTTTTCAACTGTTAGCAAGAAATTCCATCACAAAACAGTGTACAAGCCAATGAAGACACATCTATGGGACATCTCAGTGTGCAGTGGCCACTTTGTCCTTTCTGGGCTAGATTATTTTTCTATACACCTTTCTCTTCCTGCCTCTTCCCTCAGCCATCATTCTCTGCTTTCAGTATCGTCCTTCCTTCCTTCCTTCCTTCCTCCTTCCTTCCTTCTTTCCTTCCTCCTTCCTTCCTTCCTTTTCTTTCTCTTTCTTTCTCTTTCTCTCTCTTTCTCTCTTTCTTTCTCTTTCTTTCTTTCTCTTTCTTTCTGTCTCTCTCTTTCTCCCTTCCTTTCTTTCTCTTTCTTTCTTTCTTTCTTTCTTTCTTTCTTTCTTTCTTTCTTTCATTTCCTTTCTTTCTTTCTTTCTTTCATTTCCTTTCTTTCTTTCTTTCATGGAGGCTCACTCTGCTGCCCAGGCTGGAGTGCACTGGTGTGATCTCGGCTCTCTGCAGCCTCCGCCTCCCAGGTTCAGGTGATTCTCCTGCCTCAGCCTTCCAAGTAGCTGAGATTACAGGTGCCCCCCACCACGCCCAGCTGATTTTTGCATTTTTAATAGACATGGGGTTTCACCATGTTGGCCAGACTGGTCTTGAACCCCTGACCTCAGGTGATCCGCCTGCCTCGGCCTCCCAAAGTGCTGGGAGTACAGCCGTGAGCCACCATGCCCAGCCATGATTGGCAAAGTTCTAAAAGGCAGCAGGGGATGTTCTACTCAGCCCAAGGGAATGGCTGGGAGGTGAAGAAATTGTCAGGAAACCGTGAGAGCAGCAGTGATCTCAGCCCTGGAAGATAGGCACAAAACAGCCTCCTCCTCTGCTCCTGAGGGATTGGGAGGCATAATCAGTAAGAGTGTTTGTAATAACACACTCAAAGTCCTACTCACTGCTTAACAGCTGCGTGCAGAAATTCCAGTGGCTCCATTTTTAGTTGGGGCTAATGAGGGTTAAAAACTCTCCAGGCTGCCCAAAATACCCTCAGCAAGGCTCCCCAAGAGGGGTTTTATTTACCACACTGCTGATTAAGGAACAGTTTATCTACTCTGGATCATCTTTCACCAAAGCCTTTATCAGTGTGTTGTTTTGGCTGCTGATGGTTTGTTTTATTTTTTAAATAAATGAGAACAGATTATTTGTGTTCCAAGGCCATGACTCAAGTTAGCTGTTTGCCAGCTGTGAGGGAGACAGAGCCGGATCCTCTGGGGCCAGCCCTCCCTTTGCAGAGCTGGAGGGAAGTCACAAGGATGAAGGAGTGAAAAATGAGGAGTCAAAAATTCACTTATTTCCAGGTCTTGCTGGGGAGCAGCTCAGTGGGGCAGTGATGATCTGGGGAGGACTAGCCCAAAGAAGAATGAACGGGCTAGAGGCCAGGTGGAGGAAGGAAGGCCAGAAACAAAGTGGCAAGGGACAAAGAGGTAGAGCAGAGGGAGGCATCCAAGGAGGTGCATCATCGGAGACTTCTCCAAGAAACGGAATACATCAATGCACAGGATTTTATTTTATTTTTCAGATGGAGTCTCGCTCTCTCACCAAGCTGGAGTGCAGTTGCACGATCTTGACTCACTGCAACCTCTGCCTCCTGGGTTCAAGCGATTCTCCTGCCTCAGCCTCCCGAGTAGCTGGGACTACAGACACGTGCCACCACGCCCAGCTAATTTTTGTATTTTTAGTAGAGACGGGGTTTCACCATGTTGGCCAGGATGGTCTCGGTCTCTTGACCTCATGATCCACCCACCTTGGCCTCCCAAAGTGCTGGGATTACAGGCTTGAGCCACCGCCCCCAGCTATGCACAGGATTTTAAAGGGAGGACAGAACTGAGCAGAGGGGAGGACCTCAGTGAAGCTGCACTTTCTGCTGGATTCAAACTAAATCTACTCTGGGCAGATCAAGGAAAAGCTTGAAGGATGTGACTTAAGGAAGAACTTTCTACTGAAAGAGCCAGGAGACCCTAAAATGCATTTTCTGAACAGATAATGGAGATGCCTTTTGGGTAGAGAGCAGCACTCACTGGATTTGGGGTCAGCCCTGTCAATAACCCATGGAGAATCCTGGGCATGCCCCTCCCCTCTCTGAAGTTGGGTCCATAAAAGGAGGGGACTGAAAGACATCCCTTCTTCTAAAGCTTGGCCGCACATTAGCATCACCTGGGAGCTGCTAAAAATCCCCATGCTTAGGCTGCAACCTAGACAGTTTCTATCAGAATCTTTAGGAGTGGGGTCCACAGCTGGAATACTGTACATGATCAAGTCTGAGACTTGCAGAGCTAGATGGTATCTAAAGGTCTCCATCAGCCCTGACATTCATTAAGTTTTTTTTTTTCTTTTTTTGAGACGGAGTTTCACTCATGTCGCCCAGACTGGAATAAAGTGGTGTGATCTCAGCTCACTGCAACCTCTGCCTCCTGGATTCAAGCAATTCTCCTGCCTCAGCCTCCCACATAGCTGGAATTACAGGCACCCACCACCATGCCCAGCTAATTTTTGTATTTTTAGTAGAGATGGGGTTTCACCAGGCTGGTCTCAAACTCCTGACCTTAGGTGATCCACCTGCCCCGGCTTCCCATAGTGCTGGGATTAGAGGCGTGAGCCACCGCACCCGGCCTCATTAAGTCTTTAAGAAAAGGAAAGAGGGGGTGGCTGGCAGGTAGTCCTCAGTAGAAGCAAAGCATGGACCAAATGGCTTCTTGAGTGTTCCACGGTCCATAAGATTCAATGATTTGAGACCCTGAGTAGATGGGAACTTGCTGCCAAATTCCAGCCAACTGTTTCTCTCCATTAATTCACTCTACAAATATTTATTGAGCATCTACTATGTGCCTGGCACTGTTGTAGGCTCTCTCCTTTGTTCAACTATTGACTCTCTCCTTTGTTCAACTATTGGGAGAGACCTGAAACCACAAAGTTAAAGAAGAGTGCAGGGTGGTGCAGAGAATGGGAGGGAAAGGGAAATTTGGGAATGTGATTCACATGGAGTTTTTCAAACTTATACATTATTTGCTCAAATCCCTAAGGTTACTATGGACCTGTCCTTGTCCCATTAATCTCATTTTCCTTTCCTCCTTCAACTCTGGGGTCATATATATCTGAATTTAGCAAGCAACAGTAGGGTCAGAAAAATTCTGCTCCCTGATCCCAAATTCACGCTCCCAGGTATATATCAGGTCTTCCCAATTGAAACACGAGCTCCTCACAGTTGAGGATTGGGCCTTGCGTCTTTGGGGAGCAGATGGTGTAGTTTAGCATGTGAGGGCTAGAGACAGATGGCCTCTTACTAGAGACTATCGCTGTGTGACCTTGGTCACAATACCTAACAGCACCCCGCCACCTAACTCAGCTTGCATCTGCAAAACAGGGATTGTAATAGCACCACCTTTTACTAACCATTAGATTGTTGTGAAGAGAATTGCCTGAATTAATACAGGCAAAGCAGTTACTAACAAAGGCTGGCACATGATCAACGCTCAGTTTGTGGTGACTGTTATTATCCTGGAGCAGAAGATGTTAAATGTACTTGTGATGAAGCTAATGAAGTATGGTGGTATCTGCTCTTTCTCATTTCACATCAGAGCATGGGGCGGATATGTTGGTTAAGGTAATGGCAGATGCTGTAAGAGGTAGGCTCTGAAATCCCAGTGGCTTCATTCAATAGGAGTTCACTCTTCTCTCATGTAAAGTCTGATGGGCCTGGGGAGGGGGTGCTGGGCTCCATGCAACCATTTAGGGTGCCGAGGTACCATCATCTTCAAGGCATGAATCCCGAGGCATCCCAGGGCTTTGACATCCCAGTGACACACCACATGAGGGAGTGAGTGCAGAGTCACACGGAAGGCTTCTGCAGGCCAGGGAGTGGCATCACTTCCACCCACATCCCACCAACCAGAACTCAGTCGTATGCCACAGGCGCCTGGGAAAGGTACCCAGGAGGAAGTGCAGAAAGGGCTGAATCTTATGTTCCCCCAAAATTCACATGTTCAGCTCTAACCCCCAATGTGAAAGTAGGGAGAGGTGGGTTTCTTAGGGGGTCATGAGGGATTAGTGCCCTTATAAAAGGGATCCCAGAGAGCTGGCTAACCCCTTCTACCACGTGAGGAGGCAGCAAGAAGCCACTATGAGGAATGGGCTGTCATCAGACACCAAAGCTGCCAGCAACTTGATCTTGGACTTCTCAGTCTCCAGAACTGCGAGAAATAAATGGCTAGTGTTTATAAGCCACCCAGTTTATGGTATTTTTGTCATAGCAGTCCAAACAGACTAAGACAGGGGCCTCTAGGACTCGGCCTCCAGGATCTTCTTAGTGGGCCAAACTGTCTCCCATCTCAGGCGCCCAGACCCATGGTGGCTGTCCTGTCTGCAACTTGCTCTAGGACCACTATCCATGTGTAGGGTTCACTCCTCCTGTCTCCTTCTTCTCCAGCCTTCTCCAGTTACTTTTCTCCTCTTCCTATTCTCTCTCCGAGGGCATCTACCCTCTATTGAGCTCCTGTGGTTGGAGAAAGGTTCATTGTTTGGCCATGGAGGCCTCTGGTGGCAAGGTTCCCTAGGGATTTAGCAATAAGGGATGTTGAAGGGTGGAGGTGGTAGAGGAACCTTCCAGGGAGGAGAGCCGTGGCCACTTCCACCTGCTTCCTGTGAGACCAGGAGAGCAAAATCCCAGGCTGCCAGGCTCCCAGGAGACTGCAGGGGATCTTAGCCTCTGATGATCTCCCTGATCCGCAGCAGCCATATCGCCAAGGAACTTAGGAATGCAAACTCTCAGCCCCAAACCAGCTAAATCTGAAATTCAGCTCCGAAAAGTCAGTAACCTGCCCCAAGTCACACGGCAAGTAAGGGACAGGACAAAAGCATTTGAACAAGATTTTCAGATGATTGGGGTGCACGCAGGTCTGACAGTCTCTGCTGTAGGAATGGATGGGGCCCACGGGAAGGGTGCAAATGGGAAAGTGCTTCTTACTGTCCTCCAGTGGCCATAAAGTGAACAACAGTCAAGCCTCCAGCTCTGGGGACAAACTTGGGGTTGAGGTGGCAGCAATGACAACACGTAGATTAGGAAGCAAATTCTAGAAGGCACTGGGAATCCCACAGTGCCCAGCATGGGGCTTACCTGGGTCTGCCTCTTGGACAGTTTTTAAGACTTGAATTAGAGTCCAGCCCGGAGCCAGACCCAAAGTCTGTTTCCAGAAGGGTGAACCCACCTACATTTACATTTCATAGGGACCAGGCACAGCTGGCTGGAAGAGGCATCTGTGGTTGGACCGATGAACCCAACAGGGTCCAGGCTTTAAGATGCTACCATCATCCTCAGGGGGTACCAAGGCAGGCAGAGTCCCCTCTTCCCTGGGAGAGCACAGAACTCCAAGCTAGAGGTGCAGAGTGGAGATCGGGATGTGAGGGAGGAGGAGCAGCAAAGCCACTGCCCGGCTCATCCAGAGGAAGGATGGATGGGGGCCCCTGTAGCAGCATGCGGCAGCTCGGCCACCATGAGCCCCAGATGCCAGTGCCCAGCCCTCTGAGCCTGGGATGGTGGTCCTTGGATGCCCCACTGTTCTTCTGGGTGCACCACGTGGGCCACAGACCCTCAGAGTACAGATCACTCAAAAGCAAGGTGGTTTTTTAAAGATACATTTCCGGCCACAGACTTGAAAGTACCTAACAGTCATTAAAATAAACATGAGAAAGCATGAATGGATCTGTGCTTTAAACTTTATTCAACACAAAATCGTCATCAGAGAGCCTGACATAGATAACCTCAGGTTCTTTCCGGGTATCTGACTCAGGAGTCGGTGGATATGGCATGCTGGACTTTTTGCCTTGCCAGAAGATCCCAAGGACCCTCCAGTTTGGGAATCACCAGTCTGGCTATCATCATCATCATAACCAGAAGCCCGGAGTGTCCACCTCTCTACCCTGGTGTATCTTCCCCAGCCCCTGTCACTGGCCACATCCTCACTGTGAGGCCCCAAAGATGAGGTGGGCACAGAAAGGGGGGCACCTTGAGGGCACCAGGGCAGCTGCCCAACAGGTTGGCTGCAAAAGACCTCTCTTGAGGGTCTGCACAGGCCCCGGCTCCATGGAGTAATCCAGGCAATCGTGTCTCAGGCCTTGGGAGGCAGAAGAGCCAGCAGCAGTTCCATGCCAGGTGGAAGGCAGCCTACATCTGATGCCCTCAGGCTGGTCATCAGTGCGGACTCCTTCTTGGAGACATCCCTCTGTTTTGTGGGGATAGACTGGCACCTGCCTGAGGCTGAGGCTGCTGCCAGCCACTCCCTGCTCAAGGTTGATCTGACCTTCTCTTTCCCAAGGAAGCCGAATGAGACAGCAAAGGCCTCCCCTGGGAATCTCAAGAATGGGGCCCTCGTTCCGACTCCATTCTTTTCTAGCCATGCATCTTTTGGTAAGCCTGGGTCTGAGTTTACTTTTCTGCAAAATGATTGGTTGAGTGAGGCTCCAGGCTTCTTTATAGGAGGCACTTATGAACACCAATGTACCCTAAAGAAGGGGAGTAGGGTGCTAGAAAAGGGCCTGAAAGCACAGGCACACTCTTTTGCTTAGATTTTTTTTTTTTGGCTTTGCCATTTCTTTTTATTACAGATTGTTTATTATTTTTACAACAACACATCTGGTACAGGTGAGTCTTCAGTTCTTCAGAGAAATAGTATGAACATCAAATGCAAACAATATTATTCTATTTATGATTTGTTTTCATAATTGAATACTAGGTCATGATAAAATTGCTGACATTTAGGCAAACTCAGTATAAAATAGACATTTCAAACGTTTAGGTATAGCCCAACAAGATATCTCAGTAGACTTATCTTTTGCTTAGATTATAGGCTAACTAGAGATGGCTCGGGAGCCTTGGGGACTGGGAACCAGGGCAATACTGAGCCCCTCCCAGACATCTCTTGGTGCTGCCACTGGTTACGTGGCTCAAAGCCTGCCTCCCTCATGGGGTGGTTGCAATGGTCAAATGAGATCATGCAGATGAAGATGAGGCCCTTCAGGAACTGTCATCCTCTCCACAGATGGAGCATATGCTTAGCCCCTCCTACAGTAGGACTGCAACCCTCTAGCCAAGAGCCTGACCAGCATTGCTTACTGATGGCATAGTGAATGATGTCCCCTGGGACCCCTTCTGCAGAAGAGCCACCAATGAGCACTTTCCCAGACCTGCACCATGCACCAGCTGGGCTTCTTCCCAAGCCAGGGACTTTGTCAGATCTGCCAAGCCCCCTAGAGCACTATTTGCAGGAGGAAACTCCCTACTCATCAACAGCCCAGGTGGTCCTCCAAATAGGTGGCCACAGCCTTCGAAGGCTTGAGGGCTTTATTCTAAGGGGTCAGTAGTCCTCAAAAGGTGACCACTGCCCAATTATTGCAGGAACATGGGGATGCTGGTGAAAAATGAAATTCCAGGGCCCCATCCTGGGTCTAAGGAATCCATTTTTGGGAGTGAGCTTGAGCGATCTGTGTCTTTTTTTTTTTTTTTTTTTTTTAATTATAAGCACTCCTGTTTATTGTTGTGCACACTAAATTTGAGTTTTGGAAAGGAACCGTTATGAGATCTGGTCCCCTGTCCAGAAGAGACTTCTTGTGAACCATTCAAATTCCAGAGAATCTTTCCCATTTCTCAAGAGCCCACCTTATTTTGGAGGATAAGGAAGTGACAGGAATGCATAAAACTTACCAGCCAAGTGTCCTTTGGGAACAGTCAGCTCAGACAGTGCAGGAAGAAAACCTGAGATCGAAAGGAAGACTGGGGAGGTCAGGTCCTCCTGCACTTGCAGCTTTTGCTAAGGGCAGAAACTCCTGTCTGTGGTAAAAGATAGAAAACTAGAGGAGTTCTCACTAGGGGGACTGGTGGGTGCCCCATCAGACTCGGCCCAAATTTCAGCTCCGCCATGCCATTTCCTCCGTCACTCCCTCCCCAGCACACCCACCCCTCTGCAGAGCCGTCCTCACTAATGTGCCACACATGCCGTGTGGCCCCTCCTTAGCACTTTCTCACCTTTGAAGTTCTCCACATGTCTGTCCTCACTAAGCTAAAAGAGCTAGCATGAGGTCCTGCTTGGCTCTGCAACCCCAACCCCTGGCCCAAAGTGCTGTTAGATGTGTGTTGAATGAATAAATGAACCAATTCCATAATCAACTTGTGGGATGAACATCCAAAGGAGAGAATCAATTTTAAGAAATAATTTAAAGACAGAAAGAAGGTCGGGCGCGGGGGCTCACACCTGTAATCCCAGCACTTTGGGAGGCCAAGGCGAGTGGATCACCAGAGGTCAGGAGTTCGAGACCAGCCTGGCCAACACGGTGAAACCCCATCTCTATTAAAACTACAAAAATTAGCCAGGCGTGGTGGCAGGTACCTGTAATCCAAGCTACGTGGGAAGCTGAGGCAGGAGAATTGTTTGAATCCGGGAGGCAGAGGTTGCGGTGAGCTGAGATCACGTCACTGCACTCCAGCCTGGGCGACAGAGCGAGATTCCATCTCAAAAAAAAAAAAAAAAAAAAAAAGAGAGAGAGAGAAAAAAAGAAAAAAGAAGTATTTATCATACAACCCATTATCTTTATAAATAACATAGTGAAAACAAACAAATCAAGGAAGGGTTAGATGAACCCATCATCCATAGTTCTAGAAGCGAATAATTCAGGGAAGTAGTGTCCTGTGAGTCTGGCCCAGCGTGGCAGTCCTGGGGATCTCTAGGTAATTCCTGGAGCAAAAAAAAAAAAAAAAAATTAAGACAATGAACGTCTGTCTTTCATGCCTCTGCTCTCTCAGAAGAACGAGGGCTGTGGTTGAAACCTAGGAATGCTCCCTGTTGGAAGCGGTGGATCTCCTGTGCAGTCTGCGGGGCAGAGCCTCTTCTCACCTTCCCTGCGTCTTCTCTTTTTTGCTGCTCCCTCACTTGGTGGCCATCCCGGGACTGCATGGAGCGGGTGTCAGTGCTGCCTTCACTGGGTGGGAAGTCACTTTTATTACCTCCAGGCCAGGTTTTCCAACCCGCCTTTCCCTATCCTCCACTCCCTTCTCACATCCACCATGTCTTCCGTTTCTGAATTGCCCCAGAGGATAGGGGAGGGGAGGAAGGTAAGCGTAGAGTAGGGAAGAGTGCTGTGCAGGCCCAGCGCCAGCCACTCTCGAGGAATCAGCCCGGCCCTTGCGGGGGCGCCCGTGGGTGGCTGAAGTTTGTTTCTCCACAGAAGCAGACGCCAGTGGCTTGTGGCTTCCACAGTCTGGAGACGGCCTCGCAGCACCATCTGTGTTCCTTCCCCACCACAGTCACAGATGCACCCACGGGTTTGGAACAGCCGGGCTGCCCGAGAAACCGAATCTCTATATTGTTCCTCTTCATGGGGGAAATACAAAAGCCTTCCGTAAAGAAAAGAACAGCCGGGTCATCTTTCCAGTCAGGCCAGAGGGAGTGTTTCTGGGACAGCCCGGGAGCCACGGTGGAGAGAGGCAGTGGCTGTTCTCGGCTGCCTGGGGCAGCTACTGCAGGGCGATGCCTTCAGGGTATAGTCCCAAAACAGCAGCTCCAGCAAGATCCCAGGGTTCTTCGGGACCTTGTTAGGAATACAAAGTCTTGGGTCCCGCCTCAGACCTACTGTGTTCCTACAGGCCTTCCGGGTGATTCCAAGTTTGGGAACCTCTGGGTTAAGGGATGCCATGGAGCGAGTCCTTGGCCCTGGGGTGCGAGGCAGAAGCTGGGGTACTGGAGATCATGCTGGGGCCTCCACTCACAGACCTCATCCATTTACCCCAGTGTTGCAGAAATACATAGTACTCGTGTGTGTGTGTGTGTGTGTGTGTGTGAGAGAGAGAGAGAGAGAAAGAGAGAAAGTCGTGTCCTTTTCTCCCTGAGAAGCATACAATGGGGGAGAAATGCTGAGGATTGGTGCTTTCACTCTTCCAGGCACAGGCGAGCATCTATCCCGACTTGGAGAGCTTGTTTTCACAGATTCCCAAGTAACCTGGCTCCGAGGCTAACACCGTGTCCAAATCCTGTTGCCCCACGTGCATCTGCTGTTTGAGTGCAGGGCCACCATTTCTTGCTTGTTCATCCCCAGGGACTGGGAATGGAGAAAGCATGCGGGTGTGGCTGAGGGGTTCCTGTGGAAGGGAACCCCTCACTGGGCCACTGGGTGGGGCCTGGAGCAGCACAGCCCAAGGGCGCCCAAGGGATTCCACAAAGGAGCAGCCTTTGGTGAAAAACAGCATGCTGTCTCCCATTTCACAGAAGTGGGGTCCTGGACAACTTCTACCTCCAGTTAGGCTGAGTCACTGGGCTGTTCTCGCATAGACCATCCCATGATTTGGCTTCATGCGTCACTAGAAAGGTCATTGATAGCTAATGTTTCACCACTGCCCCATGCAGTGTGACCTTCCATCCAGGCAGTGGGAGGTCTCGGTGTGCGTGTGTGTGTCTGAGTGTGTGTGTTTGGGGCAAGTGACTGCTACAGGTTTGATGATATGGCTGAAATGAACTGGCACATCCCGGTCCCTTATCCTCAACACCCCCAACCCCCTCACCACAATCCAGTGAAATTTCAGCAATGAGTCTGCAACAGTTCATGAAATGACCAGTAGAGAGGGTGATTTCCCCATCTGTGGAATGGAAATGGCTCTCTCCAGGCACAGTGCCAGGTGAGGGTCTAGCAGCCAGATTTTCAGGACTTAGAAAAAGTCAGATGTACTTGCAAGCCAAAGAGGCAATGGTCTAAGGCAGAGTAACGATAAGGACACAAGGAGAGCCAAAACCTCACCCCGTTTGCCTTACTGGACAATGGAGGCAGGCAGGGCTGTATCTATTCAGTCTAGACCACGTTAAAATGCAAATACAACTGGGATTATATTTGAGGTTGTTGCCTGTCTTTTGTATCTGAGATGAAAGGAGATGAGAGAGTATTTTGACAAACTAGAAGGTGAGAATGAGTTCTGGGATGGACAGAGAAGCATAAGGGGCATAAAACACTCAAACTGGGGCCTCCTGAACAGCGCAATCCTCTGCTCAAACGATCAGAAAAGCCCTGCCTGATTCCAACACTGAGAACTGAGTCTGCTCCTGCATGTCTGTGTCTAGCAGAAGGGGCCGCTGCCCCCCTGGGGCTCCCATTTCATTTGCACATGTATGTCCTCTTGGCAAGTGCTGTGGACTGAAATGATTTCTTTTCTTGTCTTTGAGCATCTTGAAAGAGGAACACTGTCTTTGCATTTCCAGCTCCTACCACAAACTGACAAAATTCTAAATGCTCCATGTTGAATAAGTGAATGAATGAATGTCCAAGAGTAGAGAAGCATTAGGTAACGATGTTATGTCAGCTTATTGCAATATTATGTGGTTATGGAAAATAATGGTTTTAAAGGACAATTGGAAAATGCTTATGGTTTTCATGCGCGTCCATGTGAAGAGACCACCAAACAGGCTTTGTGTGAGCAACATGGCTGTTTATTTCACCTGGGTGCAGGCGGGCTGAGTCCGAAAAGAGAGTCAGCGAAGGGAGATAAGGGTGGGGCCGTTTTATAGGATTTGGGTAGGTAAAGGAAAATTACAGTGAAAGGGGGTTTGTTCTCTGGCGGGTAGGAGTGGGGGTCGCAAGGTGCTCAGTGGGCAGGAGTGGGGGTTGCAAGGTGCTCAGTGGGGGTGCTTTTTGAGCCAGGATGAGCCAGGAAAAGGACTTTCACAAGGTAACGTCATCAGTTAAGGCAAGGACTGGCCATTTACACTTCTTTTGTGGTGGAATGTCATCAGTTAAGGTGGGGCAAGGCATATTCACTTCTTTTGTGATTCTTCAGTTACTTCAGGCCATCTGGGCGTATACCTGTAAGTCACAGGGGATGTGATGGCTTGGCTTGGGCTCAGAGGCCTGACATTCCTGCCTTCTTATATTAATAAGAAAAATAAAACAAAATAGTGTTGAAGTGTTGGGGCGGTGAAAATTTTTGGGGGGTGGTATGGAGAGAGAATGGGCGATGTTTCTCAGGGCTGCTTCAAGCGGGATTAGGGGCGGCGTGGGAACCTAGAGTGGGAGAGATTAAGCTGAAGGGAGGTCTTGTGGTAAGGGGTGATATTGTGGGGATGTTAGAAGAAACATTTGTCATATAGAATGATTGGTGATGGCCTGGATACGGTTTTGTATGAATTGAAAAATTAAATGGAATAACAGAAGGAGAAAAACAGGTATAAAAGGTCTAAGAATTGGGACGACTCAGGATGTCTGATTAGAGAGTGCTTAAGGAGATTTGGCATAGTCCTGCCGGCAAAGATTATTTATTTACTTCAAGAGTTAAGAGTGGCAGTTTGGGGATAGCACCAGGAGATATCAGCTGTGATGGCTTGGAAAAACAGTGTAAACTGGCAGTGTAAACAAGAGCAGGGCATGTATGAGTAGTTGAGAATGGTGAATAGGAGTATGACTAGACAGAAAATAGTAGGAATGACAAGTTTTTTTTTTTTTTTGAGGCGCAGTCTAAGTTGGTCTGGTGTCTGGAATGAGACTGGGGCCTAATAAAAAGGAGCGTCTATACAGGACCTTAAATGGGCTGTACCCTGTAGCATTCCAAGGACAGGCCTGAATTCTGAGAAGGGAAAGTGGTAAAAGTATTGTCCAGTCCTTTTTAAGTTGGTGGCTGAGCTTGGTGAGATATGTTTTTAAAATACCTTTAGTCCATTCTACTTTTCTTGAAGATGGAGGACCGTAAGGGATATAAAGGTTTCACTGAATACTAAGAGCCTGGAAAACTGCTTGGCTGATTTGACTAATAAATACAGTTATCAGACTGTATTGAGGTGGGAAGGCTAAACTGAGGAATTATGTCTGACAGAACGGAAGAAATGACTGCGGTGGCCTTCTCAGGCCCTGTAGGAAAGGCCTCTACTTATTTTGAGGGCCTCTAAAAGTATTAAAGCAGCGGCAGCCGCTGCACGCAGACATGAGGGCTAGGCTAAAACAGTAAGGTCAAGTTGTTTGGACAGAAAGGCTACAGGGTGTGGTCTTGGCTCTTGTGTAAAAATTCTGACTGCGCTAACCATGCCTAGGAAGGAAAGGAGTTGTTTTGTAGAAGGTGCTTGGGTTTGAGAGATCAGTCGGACACGATTGGCAGGGAGAGCACGTGTGTTTTTATGAGAATCATGCCGAGATAGGTAACAGATGAGGAAGAAATTTGGGCTTGATTGAAGTAATGGGGGCTGCCTGTGAAGCTTTGCAGCAGTACAGCCTAGGTAATTTGCTGAGCTTGATGGGTGTCAGGGTCAGTCCAAGTGAAAGTGAAGAGAGGCTGGGATTAAGGGTGCAAAGGAATAGTAAAGAAGGCATGTTTGAGATCTAGAACAGAATAATGGGTTGTAGAGGCAGGTATTGAGGATAGGAGAGTATATGGGTTTGGCACCACGGGGTGTATAGGCAAAACAATTTGGTTGATAAGGTGCAGATCCTGAACTAACTTGTAAGGCTTGTCTGGTTTTAGGACAGGTAAAATGGGGGAATTGTAAGGAGAGTTTATAGGCTTTAAAAGGCCATGCTGTAGCAGGCGAGTGATAATAGGCGTTAATCTTTTTAAAGCGTGCTGCCGGATGGGATATTGGCGTTGAGTGGGGTAAGAGTGATTAGGTTTTAATGAGATGGTAAGGGGTGCATGATCGGTTGCCAAGGAGGGAGTAGAGGTATCTTATACTTGTGGGTTAAGGTGGGGGGATAGAAGAGGAGGACGCAAAGGAGGCTTTGGATTGGGAAGAAGGGCGGCAATGAGATATAGCTGTAGTCTAGGAATAGTCAGGGAAGCAGATAATTTAGTTAAAGTGTCTCAGCCTAATAAGGGAACTGGGCAGGTGGGGATAACTAAAAAGGAGTGCTTAAAAGAGTATTGTCTAAGTTGGCACCAGAGTTGGGGAGTTTTAAGAGGTTTAGTAAGCCTGGCCGTCAATACCCACAACAGTTATGGAGGCAAGGGAAACAGGCCCTTGAAAAGAGGGTAATGTGGAGTAGCCTCCGTATTGATTAAGAAGTGGACGGGCTTACCTTCCACTGTGAGTTACCCGAAGCTCGATGTCCGTGATGGTCTAGGGGGCTTCCGAGGCGATCGGGCAGTGTCAGTCTTCAGCCACTAAGCCGAGAAGATCTGGGAAGGAGTCAGTCAGAGAGCCTTGGGCCAGAGTTCCAGGGGCTCTGGGAGTGGCTGCCAGGTGAGTTGAACAGTCCGATTTTCAGTGGGGTCCCACACAGATGGGACGCGGCTTAGGAGGAATCCCGGGCAGTGGGCATTCCTTGGCCCAGTGGCCAGATTTCCAGCACGTGTAGCAAGCTCCTGTGGGAGGAGGTTCTGGAGGAAGGCCTGGCTGCTGCGGTTCAGGCGTTTGGAAGTTCTTGTGTGCTGGAGATGTGGCTGGGGTTTGTCTCACAGTGGAGGCAAGGAATTGCAACTTTTTTCTATTATGGTACACCTTGAAGGCGAGGTTAATTAAATCCTGTTGTGGGGTTTGAGGGACGGAATTTAATTTTTGGAGTTTTATTTAATGTCGGGAGCAGATTGGGTAATAAAATGTATATTGAGAATAAGACGGCCTTTTGACCTTTTAGGGTCTAGGGCTGTAAAGTGTCTCAGGGTTGCTGCCAAACGAGCCATGAACTGGGCTGGATTTTTATATTTGATGAAAAACAGCCTAAACGCTATCTGATTTGGGATAAAGAAAAAGGAGCATTAACCTTGACTATGCCTTTGGCTCCAGCCACCTTTTTAAGAGTAAATTGCTGGGCAGGTGGGGGAGGGCTAGTCACGGAACGAAACTGTAAGCCGGACCAGGTGTGATGAGGGGAGGCGATAAAAAGATTGTAGGGTGGAGGAGCGGAGGCTGAGGAAGAAATGGGACCTAGCTCGGCCTGGCGAGGAGCAGCCTGGGGAGGAAGGAAGAGGTCAGATGGGCCTGTAGAAAAGGAAGATTAGAAAGACTCAGCGATGCTTGGGGTTGGTACTGAGGGGACAGGCGGGAGGGAAAGAAGGAAGATTTGGGACGAGTTGCACTGGGCACAGAGGCTAGGACGGGACTGATGTGTAAAAGAATGCCTGGACGTCAGGCACCTCAGACCGTTTGACTATTTTACGACAAGAATTATTTAGATCTTGCAGGATGGAAAAATTCAAAGTGCCATTTTCTGGCTATTTGGAACTACTGTCGAGTTTGTATTGGGGTCAAGCGGCATTGCAGAAGAAAATAAGGCATTTAGGTTTTAGGTCAGGTGTGAGTTGAAGAGGTTTTAAGTTTTTGAGAACACAGGCTAAGGGAGAAGAAGGAGGAATGGAAGGTGGAAACATACCCATAGTGAAGGAGGCAAGCCCAGAGAAAAGAGTAGAGACACGGAGAAGGGGTGGGGGGTTCTTGCCCTCCAGAAAAGCAGAGAAGGGGTTGGGGCACGGAAATAAGGGATTGGGGCACAGAGATAAGAGGTCAGGGTGCGGAAATAAGGGATTGGAGCACAGAGATAAGAGGTTGGGGTGCGGAAATAAGCGATTGGGGGGTTCTTGCCCCCTAGGAAAGTGGGACTTGCCGCTAAGGGTGAAGGAGAAGGGGTTGAGGGGTACTTGCCCTGCCCCAGGAAAGCGGGACTTGCTGCTAAGGGTGAAGAAGGGGTTTGTGAAGAGACCACCAAACAGGCTTTGTGTGAGCAACATGGCTGTTTATTTCACCTGGGTGCAGGCGGGCTGAGTTCGAAGAGAGAGTCAGCGAAGGGAGATAAGGGTGGGGCCGTTTTATAGGATTTGGGTAGGTAAAGGAAAATTACAGTGAAAGGAGGTTTGTTCTCTGGCGGGTAGGAGTGGGGGTCGCAAGGTGCTCAGTGGGTGTGCTTTTTGAGCCAGGATGAGCCAGGAAAAGGACTTTCACAAGGTAATGTCATCAGTTAAGGCAAGGACCGGCCATTTACACTTCTTTTGTGGTGGAATGTCATCAGTTAAGGTGGGGCAAGGCATATTCACTTCTTTTGTGATTCTTCAGTTACTTCAGGCCATCTGGGCGTATACGTGCAAGTCACAGGGGATGCGATGGCTTGGCTTGGGCTCAGAGGCCTGACAATGGTCTTATGTTAAATATAGAAACTGCTTTATTCTTATGTAAAATTATGTATGCCTATAAACTAAAAGAGAACAAGAAAAGTGAGTTATTCATGGGTAGTGGGCTTGTTGGTGGCTTCCTTTCTAGCTTGTTTTTTAATTTCCTTTGTTGAGGATTGTGCGATAAATATAGGAACCATTTTTCCTGCTCACAAAACAACTCAGTTTTGTTCTTTTGGTGCCCAAATCCCTTGGCTACCATCTTATTTGCCCATATCTCCCCTGAATTCAGATATCTTCTGAATTCATTTTTGTTTCACCATCTTTGCACAGTGCCCAGCACTGTACCCACATACACATGCAAGTGACAATATTTTGGGAAAATAATAATTTTATTGGCAGCTGCTTATAAATAACGTCAAGTTTAGACCTGGGGCGGTGGCTCACCCATAATCCCAGAACTTTGGGAGGCCAAGGCGGGCAGATCACGAGGTCGGGAGTTCGAGACCAGCCTGACCAAAATGGTGAAACCCCGTCTCTACTAAAAAAAAAAAAAATACAAAAATTAGCCAGGCGTGGTGGCGCATGCCTGTAATCCCAGCTACTCAGGAGGCTGAGGCAGGAGAATCACTTGAACCCGGGAGGTGGACGCTGCAGTGAGCTGAGACTGCGCCACTGCACTCCAGCCTAGGCAACAGAGTGAGACTCCATCTCAAAAAAAAAAAAAAAAAAAGTCAAGTTCGAACACTGGTTCTTTCAAATCAGGCTGCTGCTTCTTAAGTGTGTGTTATCAGCAGCAAGTTCCTATTCACACTTTTTTAAAATGAGAGTCATAATGGATCTGATTCATTGAGGACCTACTGTGTGCCTTCTGCTTAAATTTAACCCTCACCACAAAGCTGCAAAACAGGAAATATTGTCCTATTTAATTGAGGAGGAAACGGAAATTCAGGGGGTTTAAGTTACTTTCCCAAGATCATAAATAGGTTTCAAACCTAAGACTTTGGGCCCCACAAAGACCATGTTTTTATCCTGTAATCCATGATGAATACTTTGTTTCTTTTTCTTTCTTTCTTTCTTTCTTTTTTTTTTTTGAGATGGAAGTTTGCTCTTGTTGCCCAGGCTGGGGTGCAATGGCGCAATCTCGGCTCACTGCAACCTCCACCTCCCGGGTTCAAGTGATTCTCCTGCCTCAGCCTCCCGAGTAGCTGAGATTACAGGCATGTGCCAACACACCTGGCTAATTTTGTATTTTTAGTAGAGACGTGGTTTCTCTATGTTGGTCAGGCTGGTCTCAAACTCCCTACTGTCAGGCCTCTGAGCCCAAGCTAAGCCATCATATCCCCTGTGACCTGCACGTACACATCCAGATGGCCGGTTCCTGCCTTAACTGATGACATTCCACCACAAAAGAAGTGAAAATGGCCTGTTCCTGCCTTAACTGATGACATTGTCTTGTGAAATTCCTTCTCCTGGCTCATCTTGGCTCAAAAGCTCCCCTACTGAGCACCTTGTGACCCCCACTCTGCCCGCCAGAGAACAACCCCCCTTTGACTGTAATTTTCCTTTATCTACCCAAATCCTATAAAATGGCCCCACCCTTATCTCCTTTCGCTGACTCTCTTTTCGGACTCAGCCCGCCTGCACGCAGGTGAAATAAACCACCTTGTTGCTCATACAAAGCCTGTTTGGTGGTCTCTTCACACGGACGCGCATGAAACCTACCTCAGGTGATCCGCCCACCTCAGCCTCGCAAAGTGCTGGGATTACAGGTGTGAGCCACAGCACCCGGCCGATGAATACTTTCAAAGGGCTCATGGTACAGTTGAGGCAGTGAGGTAATGCACATAAATAACAGAAGAAAACCATTCAAGGAATCTACCTTATGAATAAGAGTACCAAGTATTGAATAACGTTGCAAAGAATGAGTTTATTGCTGTGTATAGCCTCTCCAGGGACATCTTTTTAAATTCTGAGCTCCTGATGACACAATAGAAAGCTCTGGCCATGGACAAATTCTGCCCTAGCTGGAATGACCCAGATCTTGTCCGTCTTGGTTTGGGGTCAAAGTATGTTTTGAAGGATTCAGCCTTTTCACTGAAAAAGAAAGCACTGTCAGTCCTATTTCAGCCTCATTTTAATTTTTATGCATTATGAAACTTTATAAAAATCTAATTTATCATTTTATCTCAGGGAGTTTGGGGCCAGTTCATCCCTGGAAGAATCAAATGTTTTCCTCATTATGGGAATGAGAGGTATGCTCAAGCAGCATTTGTCAACCGAAACCTATGGGCTCCAACCAGAAATCAAGTTTCCACTGGTTTCCGCCAGGTTGTTCTCTTTACAGTTACCATTTCGCCCACGGGTTAAAATAATCAAGATAAAGGGAAAAGTGCAAATGGGTACATATAACAAGATAAAACAAAGGCTTAATACGTCACTTGTCGAAATGGAAAATGAGGCTCATATGTCTTATTTTAATGAGTCCTTTCTAAATTTCTCTCCTGTGCCGTCCTTTTCTCCTTTCTCAAGGCTATAGGGCCTCCAAGCCCCATCTCCTCCTCCCTCCTATTCAAACCTGCTTGCAGGACAGCCATCAGACTTAAGATGAGATATTCCCTCTTGGTAGTCTGGTGTGCTTTGAAACCTTCTCTCTCTTTAGGGACCCAAAAATATCGTATCTCCGGTGAAAGGTCATAAAGGCATCTTCCAGGCATGGGATCCTGTCAAGGGCCCTGAAATTACTTCAGGGCGGGATGTCACCTATTAGTTTGACCAACTCTTCCTGCAGAAAGTGAGGGGCAGTGTGGTGAGGACAAGAAGCTGACACTAACAGGTGGCTTACAGGAAAGAGGTGACTTCAGAAATGTGTTACTTACCTAGATTTCTTCGCCTGCTATTGAAAATAAAGAGTATCTTTTTTTCTGGATGGAAGTAGTTTTTCCCACTGAAAATCTAAATGTAAATTTTAGTGATTCTGAATGGGATCTGAGAAAGGTCTTAGATTTTAAAGTTCCTATTTCTTATAGGGTAGCCGGTAACAGATAAAATGCCATGTTATTATTTTATATTTTAAACAGTTTCATGGCTTTTGCCTCAAATATTTAGCTGTTTGTAAAACTAAATAATGCTGGAAACTTTATCCTGAAATATCATACTAATTATAATTTAAATGGCATGACAACAGATGGTAGTAGCAGCTTTTTATAACTCTTCGTTTACACAGAGGTAGTATCTTGCTTTGCAGCTACCAATTCTCTTCTCTTTGGTCTCATTAATAAAACCACCCTAAATCTTCTGCCTGTCTTTCCCTTAGGCTCCTTCTTTGTCTCCACTAACTCTTTATGTTCCACCTACCTCCTTTAATTAGAGGCCTTTGATCCTTGATCCTCCCTTACTCTTTATTCTCTCCATATTCTGGCATTGTGAATCATTGATCAATGTAGTGATAGCCAGTTTCTCCTTTCTAGAAGCAAGACCCTTTTCAGGGAATCCATAATGTCCAAACTCTTTTCATAATAATACAAAGAAGTTATATACCTTTTTCACTATGTTGACATTTGCAATGATGGTGCAAAAGTGGTGGCGGGCAAAATTGCTGTTCTACGCTAAAAGTTTAGTCCCACTTGTTTATGTTTGCTTTTGCTGTCTCTGTTTTTGGTGTCATATTAAAAAAAAATCATTGCTCATCAATGCCTATGTTTCCTCCTTACATTTTATGATTTCAGGTCTTATATTTAAGTCTTTGTTGTTGTTGTTGTTGTTATTGAGATAAGGTCTCATTCTGTCACTCAGGCTGGAGTGCAGTGGTGCAATCTCGGCTTACTGCAGCTTCAACCTCCTGGGCTCATGAGATTCTTCCAACTCAGCTTTCCTGAGTAGCTGAGACCACAGGCGTGTGCCACCATACCTGGCTAATTTTTAAATTTTTTTTGGTAGAGGCGAGGTCTTACTATGTTGCCCAAGCTGTCCTCAAACTCCTAACTCAAGTGATCCTTCCACCACGGCCTCCCAAAGTGCTGGGATTACAGGCATGAGCCACCACACCTGCCCTGTCTTTAATCCATTTGAGTTGATGTTTGTGTATGATGTAAGATAAGAATCCAATTTCATTTTTTTTTTTTTTTTGCATGTGGTTATCCAGGTTTCCCAACAGTATCTATTGAAGACTATCCCTTCCACATTGTGTATTCTTGTCACAGATTAATTGACAGTGTATGTATGAGTTTATTTCTGGGCTTTCTGTTCCATTGGCCTAGTTTGTTTTTATGAGAGTATCATGCCGTTTTGATTACAGTAACTTTGTAATATAATTTGAAATCAGGAAGTGTGATACAACTTTGATCTTTCTCAAGTTTGCTTTAGCTATTCAAGTTCTCTTGAGGTTCCACACAAATTTTAAGATTGTTCTATTTTTATGAAAAATGCGATTGGAATTTTGAGAGAAATTGTGTTTAATCTTAAGGTTGCTTTGGGTAGTTGGACATTTTGACAATATTGATTCTTCTGATCCATGTACTTGGGATATCTTCCCATTAATTTGTCTTCAATTTCTTGCATCAATGCATTATAGTTTTCATTGTACAGATTTTTCACCTCCTTGATTAAACTTATTTCTGAGTACTTTATTCTTTTTGATCTTATTGTAAATGAAATTTTTTGCTTAGTTTTTCAGATAGTTCATTAGTATATAGAAATGCAACTGTTTTCATATGTTGATTTTGTATCCAGCAACTTTCCTGAATTTATTTTTAAATGTTTTTTCATAGAATCTCTAGAGATTTTTATACATAAGATCATGTTATCTGCACACAATTTTAATTCTTCCTTTCAGGTCTGGATGCCTTTTATTTCTTTTTCTTATCTAATTACTCATGTTAGAACTTCCAGTCCTACTAAATAGAAGTGGTAAGAGTGGACCTCCTTGCCTTGTTCTGGATCTTAGAGGAAGAGATTTCAGCTTTTTCACCATTGAGTATAATGTTAGCTGTGGGCTTTTCATAAATGATCTTTATTGTGTTGAGGTTAAGCTCCTTCTATGTCTTTTTTTTTTTTTGAGGTTTTATCATGAAAGGGTGTTGAATTTTGTCAAATACTTTTTCTGCATCTATTGAGGTGACTATATAATTTTTACCCTTATAGTATATCACATTTATTGAATTGTATATGTTGAACCATCCTTATATCCCTGGGATAAATCCCATTTGATCATAGTGTATGATCCTTTTAATGTGTTGTTAAATTTGGTTTGCTAGTATTTTGTGGAGGATCAGGGATACTGGCCTGTAATTTTATTTTCTATAATGTCCTTGACTGGTTTTGGTATCAGGGTAATGCTGACAATTAGTTTGGAAGTGTTCGTCCTCTGAAATTTTATGGAACACTTTAAGAAGGACTAGTATTATTTTCTTTGAATGTGTGGTAGAATTCACCAGTGAAGCCACTGGGACTTTGGTTTTTCTTCTACGGACAATTTTTGATTACTGATACAATCTACTTACTTGTTATTGGTATACTCAGATTTTCTATCTCTTCATGACTCAGTCTTGGTAGGTTGTATGTTTATAGAAATTTATCAATTTCTAGGTTATCCAGTTTGTTGAAGTACAATTGTTCATAATAGTCTCATGATTCTTTGTATTTCTGTGGTATCAGTTGTAATATCTCCTCTTTCATTTACAATTTCATTTGAGACTTCTCTTTTTCTTACTCTAAGGTTCATCAATTTTGTTTTTCTTTTCAAAAAATACAACTCCTAGTTTCACTGATCTTTTCTATTATTTTTCTAGTCTATATTTCATTTATTTCTGTTCTCATCTTTGTCATTTACTTCCTTCTACTAATTTTGGGCTTAATTTGTTCTTCTTTGTCTAGTTCCTTCAGGTGTAAAGTTAGGTGATTTATTTAAGATATTTCTTCATGTGGCCATTTATTGTTATAATTTCCCTCCTTGAACTGTTTTTGCTGCATTCCATCAGTTTTGATATGGTAATGGAAATAGAAAGTATTTCTATTTTCATTTGTCCCAAAATATTTTTTGATTTCCTGTTTGATTTCTTCGACTCACTAGTTGTTCAGAATCTGTTGTTTAATTTCTACATATTTTTGAATTTTCCAGTTTTCTTTCTATTGGTGGGTAATTTCATATCATTGTGAAATAATATGTAATTGTGTAATTTCCTATCATTGTAAGCATCAGAGAAGTTGCTTAATATGATATTATGTCTTAAGGAATATATGATTATTTCAATTGTATTTCTTATTTAAATGTATTTTAAAGACATTCTTTTGGGCCTAACATATGACCCATCCTGGAGAATGTTCCATGTGTACTTGAGGAAAATGTGTACTCTGTTGCTATTGGATGGAATATTCAATATATGTCCATTAAGTCCATGTGGTCTAAGGTGTAATTCAAATCCAATGTTTCCTTATTGATTTTGGCTGGATGTTCTATCAATTGTTGCAAGTGGGGTACTGAAATCCCCTATTAATTCTACTGCTATTTCTCCTTTCAGATCTGTTAATATTTGCTTTGCATAATTTTAGGTAGTCCACTGTTGGCACACACACACACATGCACACACAACTTGTTGGATCCTCTTAAATAATTGACCCCATTAAGGCCAGGCACAGTGGCTCATGTCTGTAATCCCAGCACTTTGGGAGGCCAAGGTGGGCGGATCATGAGGTCAGGAGATCGAGACCATCCTGGCCAATGTGGTGAAACCCCGTCTCTACTAAAATACAAAAAATTAGCTGGCCATGGTGGTGCAGGCCTATAGTACTGGCTACTTGGGAGGCTGAGGCAGGGGGAATTGCTTGAACCTGGGAGGCGGAGGTTGCAGTGAGCCGAGATCACACCACTGCACTCCAGCCTGGCGACAGAGCGAGACTCTGTCTCAAAAAAAAAAAAAAAAAAAATTGACTCCATTATCATTATATAATAGTCTTCTTTGTCCCTTGTTAAAGTTTTTTAGGTGTTTTTTTTGTTTGTTTTTTGACAAGAGTCTCACTCTGTTGGCCAGGCTGGAGTGCAGTTGCACGATCTCAGCTCACTGCAACCTCTGTTTCCCAGGCTCAAGCGATTCTCCTGCCTCAGCCTCCTGAGTAACTGGGATTACAGGCGTCTGCCACCACGCCCAGCTAATTTTTGTATTTTTAGTAGAGATGGGGTTTCACCATATTGGTCAGGCTGGTCTCGAACTCCTGACCTCAGGTAACCCACCTGCCTTGGCCTCCCAAAGTGCTGGGATTACAGGCGTGAGCCACCATGCCTGGCCAAAGTTTTTACTTAAAGTCCATTTTGTCTGATTTAAATATAGCTACCCTGGCCAGGTGCAGTGGCTCACAACTGTAATCCCAACATTTGGGAGGCCAAGGCAGGCAGATCACCTGAGGTCAGGCATTCAGGACCAGCCTGGCCAACACAGTGAAACTCCATTTCCTAAAAATACAAAAATTAGATGGGTGTGGTGGTGCACACCTGTAATCCCCACTACTTGGGAGGATGAAGCATGAGAATCACAAGAACCCAGGAGGTGGAGGTTGCAGTGAGCTGAGATCATGCCACTACACTCCAGCCTGGGTGGAGTGAGACTCTGTCTCAAAAATAAATAAATAAATAAAGCTACCCTGCTCTATTTCTGTTTCCATTTGTATGGATTCTCTCTTTCCATCCCTTTACGGCCTATGTATATCTTTAAAGCTAAAGTGACTCTGGTAAGCAGCATACAGTTTGGTTTTTAAATCCATTTAGCCAATCTATGTCTATGATTGGATAATTTAACCCATTTACATTTAAAGTAATTATTGACAGGTAAGAACTTACAGGCATTTTGTTGTTTTCTGGCGGTTTTAAAGATCCTTTGTCCTTTTCTTCCTCTCTTGCTGTCTTTTGTGATTAGATGATTTTCCTTAGTAGTATACTTAGATCCCTTTCTCTTTATCTGTGTGTGTCTACTACGGGTTTCTGCTTTGTGGTTAAAACAGGCTTACATAAAACATCTTATTGTCTATTTTAAGCTGATAGCAACTTAACTTTGTTCACACACAAAAACTCTACACTTTTATACGCCATTTTATGCTTTTGCTGTCACAATATTCATCCTTTTATATTGTGTATCAATTAATGAATTACCAAAGCTAGTTATTTTTAATATTTTTATTTTAGCCTATACACGAGTTAAAATGATTTACACATAACCACTGCAGTATTAGAATATTCTGATTTTGACTATATACGTATCTTTACCAGTGAGTTTTATACCTTTTTATGTTTTCATATTAGCATTAAAATTAGCATACTTTTGTTTCAGCTTGAAGAACTCCACTTAGCATTTCTCGCAAGGTAGGTCTGGTGGTGATTTAACTCCCTCAGTTTTTATTTGTCTGGGAAAGTTAATCTTTCCTTTTCTGAAGGACAGATTTATCAGGTAAAGTATTCTTGGTTAGCAGTTTATTTTTCTTTTTTAAATTTCAGCATTTTGAATATATCATCCTACTCTTCTTGGCCTGCAAGGTTTCTGCTGAGAAATCTGATAGCCTATGGGGTCTCCCTTGTATGTGATAAGCTTCTTTTTCCTTGTGCTGCTTTAAAAATTCTCTTTGATTTTTGGCTGGGCACAGTGGCTCATACCTGTAATACCAGCACTTTGAGAGGCCAAGGCAGGTGGATCACTTGAGGCCAGGAGTTTGAGACCAGCCTGGCCAACGTAGTGAAACCTTATCTCTACTAAAAATACAAAAAAAAAAAAAAAATAGCCAGCCATGGTGGTGCATGCCTGTAATCCCAGCTACTTGGGAGGCTGAGGCATGAAAATCGCTTGGGCCTAGGAGGAGGTGGTTACAGTGAGCTAAGATCATGCCACTGCACCCCAGCCTGGGAGACAAGAGTGAGACTCTGTCTCAAAAAAGAGAAAAAAAAAAAAGGAAAAAAGTTTAATTCTTTTACTTTTGACTGTTTCAGTGTAATGTGTCTTGGCAAAGTCTTCTTTGGGTTGAACCAGATTGCAGAACTTTGAGCGACATATACCTTAATGTCTGTGTCTCTCCCACATTTGAGAAGCTTTCAGCCATGCTTTATTAAATAAGCTTTCTGCTCCTTCTTTCTCTTCTCCTTTATTATTTCCATAAAGCAACTGTTAGCTCTTAATGTTGTTCCATAAATCTCATAAGCTCTCTTTAATCTTTTCATTCTTTTTCTCTCCTCTGGCTGCATATTTTCAAATGACCTGTCTTGGAATTCAGATTCTTTCTTCTGCTTGATCAAATCTGCTGTTGACTACTGCTTTTTTCCTTTCTGATTGTATTCTTCAGCAGCAGAATTTTTTTATGATTTCTCTTTGCTGAACTTCCATTTTGTTCATGCATTGTTTTTCTGATTTCATAGAGTTGTATATCTGTTCTCTTGTAGCTCACTGAATTTTCTTAAAACAATTTAAATTTATTGTCAAGCAATTCATATATCTCAATTTCTTTGGATTTGTTACTGTAATATTATTGTGCTCCTTAGGTGATATCATGTTTCCATTTTTTGTTTTCTTGAAGTCTTCCATTTCCATCCTTGCATTTGAAGAAAATCACTTCCTCCAGTCTTTATTGACTAGCTTCAGGAGAGAAATGCCTTCATCAATCTGCCTGGCTAGGAATTCTGAGGCTCTCTCCTACCTTTCCTGTGGATTCACCTGCTCCACAACCCCTGTTCCCACTTGCAGCAGGGGATTCTTAAAAGTTATATGCCTTATCTCAATCCCACAAAGCCAGGCCAGGTGCTGACAGCTTCCTGTTTGTTTCCCCTGGGGTGGTGTCCTGAAGTACTCAAGTTTGTGTACCTTGCTTCAATTCCACAATCAAGCCATCTGTCTCTATATTTGATGCTTGCAGTTGCCATCCAATGTGGCATGCTTGGGAAGCCAGCCTCAGGGAGATGGGGGTGAGGTGCACAGAGAATTTGGGGTGGCCATGGGTCATGTGGGAGGTCCATATGCAAGGTATCCCAGTGGCTGGTGAGGCTTCCTGATGGAGTCTGTGGAGTGCTGAGTAGGTTTCAGAGCCTTTCTTCCCTGCTCCCAGCCTTTCCCAACGCTTAGCTATGACAGTCACCTCAATATTTTAATTGGAGCAAGAAAGAGGTAGGGTTCTTAGGCAGCATCCCACACAGCTAGGGGCTGAGCACTCTCACTATGCTATCACCTTCTCCCATGGGAGAAATTGTGGACTGAGGGGAGTCTCTCTTGCCACTAAGCTGTGCCAACTTCAAAGAGTGATGCAGATAAAGTGAAAATCTTCTTCTTCCTTTTCTTTAATGCATTTATTCTCAGATATTTCTGCTCCAATGGTGTGCTGGAACTTCCACGTAGGACTTCTGGATTCCTACAAAAGAACTACCATCTGAAAGTACTGGTAAAAATCAATGCTTCTGTGGAAGAATGATGATATAAAGCTCCTATTCTGCCATCTTGCTAACATCACTCTCTAAAGTTACTTTTAAAGGAATAAAATATTTTAGTATCTATTTTAGCCCTGACCCTGGTAGACTTTGTTTCCTCATTTTATGTTCCATGCACTACCTCATTCCCTCTTTGCCCATTCTGAAATTTTATAATCCCTTTAAACTCCCCATGTGTACCTAAGCATCAGAATTTTTCAAAAAGTCACAGAAAATTAACATAAAAAAATAAATTTATTTTGAGTCTGAAATACTGAAGAACAAGCATACAGATAAATAGTACAAAGAACAAAAATTAGAACATGAGTAATGACTTAAGACACAGGCATTTTTCTAGCTATTGCATACAGACACATTTTTACACACAAACATATTTTTTAAAGACATCTCTCCAACATTCTCAAAAGGCAAGAGCTGTATTTGTGACATTTGTAATAAATGCAACAGCTTTTGAAACATCCAGTTTCTTTCCTAAGTCATTTGATTAAAATTCACACAAGTGATGATTACCTATTCCATTTTCTGAAAATACGACATACAGTCATGTTTCGATCAACAATTGACCACATATGACAGAGATCCTATAAGATTATAATGGAACTGAAAAATTCCTATCACCTAGTGATGCCACAGCCATTGTTACATTGTAGCACAATGTATTATCTGTTCTATGTTTAGATTACACAGATACCATTGTGTTACAGTTGCCTACAGTATTCAATACAGTACCATGCTGTACAGGTCTGTAGCCCAGAAGCGACAGACTTTGCCATCTAGCCCAGGTGTGCAGTAGGCTCTACCACCTAGGTTTGTGTAAGTACACTTCATGATGTTCACACAATGATGAAATCACCTAATGACAAATTTCTCAGAATGTAGCTCTGTCATGAAGTCACACATTACTGTAGAATTATAACATTCTTGCTTGACATATTACAGACAACTTTCACTCAAAATACAGAAAAATTATCAATTCATTTTGCATTGTCACATATTCCATCACCTTTCTAATCAACAAGGAAAAATAAACATAACATATATGTATATGCTTTTCAGAAATAAAGTATTCTAAATTTTATGTGTAATTTGTTCCAAACCTCAGGAACTCAACAAGTACATGATTATTTTAAACAACATTGATAGTTTAAAAATAAAAACATTTGGGGAGAGACCTTAAAATATATTTTTGGCCGTTTTTACCTGTAATGTAAATATCAAAGGAAGCTAATGATTGGACATACTCTGCTTGAGTTACCCTCAACTGACTAAAAAGGCTAAAAAGAAATGTAAAAGTCCGTTGTATCCATAAGGTAGCAATCACATTTGTTTATCCAATTGTCCAGGGAATTTTTCTCTGGCTGGATTCAAGTTCCTGTGATACAATAATTTGGTCTATTCCATGATTAATGGCATTTAATATTTTGGAAAGATCTTTGAGATCAAATTGAACACATTCATTTCATGGATGAGGAAAACGCTGCCCAGAGAGGTTTAATGATTTGTCCAGAGTTATAGGAACATACAGAAATACATCCAGGACATGGACACAGAGTTCCTGATTCTTAGTCAAATTCTTTAGATAACACATTCCCCAGGGTCAGATTCGACATAATTTACAGTCACTTGATTATAGAGAATGTTATAATTTCAATATATATCAATGCATATATTCTGCCTGATATAGTTGGGATACTTGTCCCTCCAATCTCACATTGAAATGTAATCCCCAATGTTGAAGGTTGGCCCTAATAGAAGGTGTTTGGGTCCTGCGGGTGGATCCCTCATGGCTTGGTGCTGTCCTTGCAGTAATGAGTGAGTTTTCACAAAATCTGGTTGTTTGAAGGTGTGTGGCACCTCCCTGCTCTCTTGCTCCTGCTTCGCCATGTGACATCTCTGCTCCCACTTAGCCTTTCACCATGAGTAAAGCTCCCTGAGGGCTCCCCAGAAGCCGAGCAGACACTGGTGCCATGCTTACACAGCCTGCAGAACTGTGAGCCACTTAAACCTCTTTTATTTATAAATTACCCAGTCTCAGGTATTTCTGTTCTTTTTTTCCTGAAACAGAGTCTCGCTCTGTCACCCAGGCTGGAGTGCAGTGGCGCAATCTCAGCTCACTGTAGCCTCCGCCTTCCAGGTTCAGGCAATTCTCATGCCTCAGCTTCCCAAGAAGCTGGGACTACAGGCGTGTGCCACCATGCCCGGCTAATTTGTGTGTGTGTGTGTGTGTGTATGTATTTTTAGTAGAGATGGGGTTTTGCCATGTTGGCCAGACTGGTCTTCAACTCCTGGCCTCAAATGATCCACCCACCTCAGCCTCCCAAAGTGCTGGGACTATAGGTGTGAGCCATCGTGCTCAACCTCAGGTTTTATTTATTTATTTATTTATTTATTTATTTATTTATTTATTTATTTGAGACAGTCTCACTTTATCTCCCAGGCTGGAGTGCAGTAGTGTGATTTTCGCTCACTGCAACCTCTGCCATTCGCATTCAAGCGATTCTCCTGCCTCAGCCTCCTGAGTAGCTGGGATTACAGGCGCCTGCCACTGCGCTAATTTTTGTATTTTTAGTAGAGATGGGGTTTCACCATCTTGGCCAGGCTGGTTTTGAACTCCTGACTTTGTGATCCACCTGCCTTGGCCTCCCAAAGTGCTGAGATTACAGGCATGAGCCACAGCACTGCGCCTGGCCTTTTTTTTTTTTTTTTTTTTTTTTTTTTTTTTTAGTAGAGATGGGGTTTTACCATGTTGGCCAGGCTGGTCTTGAACTCCTGACCTCAGGTGATCCACACGCTTCAGCCTCCCAAAGTGCTGGGATTACAGGCGTGAGCCACCACGCCCAGCCTAAATATTTCTTTATAGCAATGCAAGGATGGCCTAACACACTGCCTAAATCAAAATTGCTATTCACTTCAAGGGTATTCATTACCTGACTAGCTTTTTTGGGTGCATATGAACATAATGTAAATTTTATGGCTGATCAAATGTCATTACTATGAAGATACTCCCTATGAGCTCACAGAGTCAGGACATCAACAATATTTAAACTCTCACTGTAAACATGACACAGTGGTAGGCACTGTGGAAATATATTTGGTCCTATTTTCCCTACCTGAGCATGTAAAAGAGCAGACTATTCTAACAGTGTGATGACTCTGCAGTGAAGAAAAGAATCCACTCTCCCGGCACACTGATAGAGCATGTACCTGGGCATAGTATTCCTCAAAGGAGAATGGTCATAAAAATGATACTGCAGAATTCAAATAGCATTCAAGAGGTCTCCACTAAATGGGGACATGTAGGCTATCTGAAGTTATTATAGATTTCCTTATTTCAGGAATCTTCAAGGCAAAATATACGATGTGATACATGAAATCATGAAATAGCCAGTAACATACATGATGAAATTATCTTACTAGAAAGTTACACATCAGGAAAAAAAAAAAAAGAGAGTTTAAAAGAAAAAAAAGGCAATGGGTACAAAACTACTCTATCTCAAGTTGGAGTGAAAAAATACAGCGTTAGCATTTATCCATGATAGAAAGGCAGCACAGAAAAGAACTCAAGACAGAATGAACCTGTAACCAGGCTCCTTAATTAGAACATAATTCTAAGACCAAAGTCTGGGTAGAATCTGTACACAGAATAGTTTTTATAGCCATTGACTGCATGTGTTAAAAAGTACTTTGTAACAAGAGTACAATAAATGGGAAAAATCTTAGAGGTCATCTGAAAGCCTGATCCCAATGCTGTCCTTTGTGGGTGAGTAGTGTCATGTTGGTATGTTGTACTCAAACTGAAGTGGCTTGAACAGCTGGTCAGCACAGTGAAAAAGGCAGCCAATTAGGAATATATTGTACATTTAGTTCCACTGGATACTTTAATATATAAACTGCATGAACTATTATATCTTATGGGGACTGAACACCCCATATTATCACTTTAAAAAGTATTCTAAGCTTCCATTTTCTACAAAAAAGAAAAACATCGACTTTTAAAAAGTAAACGTCAAGAAGCTTACTTTCAGATACAATATGAGACTAAAAACCGGATACTAATTAGATAAACAGTAGTGTTAACATGATGTAAACAGAAGAATTTTAAGAAAATTTCCCTTAATTTAACAATTAAGCAAAATAATAATTATGCATTTAGAGTTCATATGGTAATTTTCAAGTAAGTGTGTTTATTCCCCCACCACATACAAACCCAGCCTTGGTGCTCACATCTCTCTCCAAGGATGATCACATTGTCCCCAATTACTACAGGACAGTAACTTTGCCTTTCTCTTCAAATTGCTGATTCTGACTGCTTGGACAACATAACCGTTTTTGGTTCTTGGTCTGTGGGACTGTCAGCTGGTATCTATAAAAACAATCAGAAGATTAAAAATGTATAGCATCTGGCATATCCTATTATAACAGATCAACAGTTGACTCGGGAGAAAAATAGCTAAATAAAAAAATATGGTTTCACATTTATTCTATACATACTTCTCAACAGTATAATCATAAAAATATTACTTACAGCTTTAACATCAACATTTGTAATTCCTATATTTATGTTGTGTCTTCGCAGATCAGACTTGATTAATGCTGAAACAGAGGGGCATCAAGTTACTATAAACTGTTATGTGAAGATTTTTTTAAAAAGCAGCTCAAAGTCTTTCTTGGTATTGTCAAATTTAATGCACTGTAGTGTCATGATATTTAATAGCATCCCAACAGCCTAAAAAATAATAGTACCTCTCTAAAGTTGTTAACAATTAATAAGTCATTCATTATTGAACAAATACGGGAATGCTAGCAACCAATGATACAAAAATGAAAAGTGTAATTCTTTTTCTTAAAGGACTCTCCAATCTAGGGAAACTTTGACATGTAAACAAGTATAACAGTGTGTGATAATTGCAAGGTATGGTGGGGAAGTGGGAGCAAAAAAAGTCTATGTCAGCCAAAGGAAATTAGAGAAGGCTTTCCAGAGAAGACATACTTGATACTGGAAAAAACTGAGTAATAACTTGTCAAGCAGACAAGAGGAGAGGAAGGCATTCTAGGCAGAAGGGAATGCAGGTATATCTCAGAGACATTGTGGGTTCAGCTCCAGATCACCACAAAAGAGTGAATATTGCTGGGCGTGGTGGGTCATGCCTGTAATCCCAGCACTTTGGGAGGCCGAGGTGGGTGGATCACAAGGTCAGAAGATCGAGACCATCCCGGCCAACACGGTGAAACTCCATCTCTACTAAAAACACAAAAAATTAGCCAGGCGTGGCGGCACGCACCTGTAGTCCCAACTACTAGGGAGGCTGAGACAGAAGAATCACTTGAACCTGGGAGGTGGAGGTTGCAGTGAGCAGAGATCGCACCACTGCACATATTTTTTGGTTTTCCAGTGCATAAAAAGTTATGTTTATACTATACTGTAGTCTATTTAAAGTTTGCAATAGCATTATGTCTAAAAAAAAAAATCAATCTACATGCCTTAATTTAAAAACACTTTACTGGCCAGGCTCAGTGGCTCATGCCTGTAATCCTAGCACTTTGAGAGGCCGAGGCGGGTGGATCACTTGAGGTCAGGAGTTCGAGACCAGCCTAGCCAACATAGTGAAACCCCCATCTCTACTAAAATACAAAAATTAGCTGGTTGTGGTGGTGGGCATCTGTAATCCCAGCTACTCAGGAGGCTGAGGCAGGAGAATCACTTGAACCCAGGAGGCAGAGGTTGCAGTGAGCCCAGATGGCGCCATTCCACTCCAGCCTGGGCAACAAGAGCGAAACTCCATCTCAAAAAAACAAAACAAAACAAAAAACACTTTACTGCTAAAAAATGCTAATGATTATCCAAGCCTTCTGCAAGTTATCTTTTTGCTGGTGGAGGGTCTTGCCTTGATGTTGATGGCTGCTGACAGATCAGGGTGGTGGTTGCTAAAAGGTGGGAGCGGCTGTGGCAATTTCTTAAAGTAAGACAGTGACGAAGTTTGCCGTATTAATCAACTCTTCCTTTCATGAAAGATCTCTCTGTGTGCAATACTTGTTTGATAACATTTTACCCACAAAACTTCCTCAAAACAGGAGTTGATCCTCTCAAACCCTGCCACTGCTTCATCAGCTAAGTTTATATAATATTCTAAATCCTTTGTTGTCATTTCAACATTTACAGCATCTTTACTAGTAGATTCCAACTCAAGAAAACACTTTCTTTGCTTATCCATAAGAAGCAACCCAGCCAGGCGCAGTGGCTGACACCTGTAATCCCAGCACTTTGGGAGGCCGAGGCAGGCAGATCACAAGGTCAGGAAATCAAAACCATCCTGGCTAACATGGTGAAACCCCGTCTCTACAAAAAATACAAAAAATTAGCCGGGCGTGGTGGCGGGCACCTGTAGTCCCAGCTACTCAGGAGGCTGAGGCAGGAGAATGGCCTGAACCCGGGAGGCAGAGCTTGCTGTGAGCCGAGATCACGCCACTGCACTCCAGCCTGGGCAACACAGCAACATTCCGGCACCCCCCCCCAAAAAAAAAGAAGCAACCCTTCATTTCTTCAGGTTTTACCATAAGATGCAGCAATTCAGTTACCTCTTCATATTCCACTTCTAATTCCAGTTCTCTTGTTATTCCCACCACATCTGCAGCTATTTCCTCCACTGAAGTCTTGAACACCTCAAAATCATCCATGAGAATGGGAATTAACTTCCTCCAAACTCCTGTTAATGTTGATAGTTTGACCTCCTCCCATGAATCAAGAATGTTCTTAATGGCATCTAGGATGGTGCATCCTTTCCAGAAAGTTCTCAATTTACTTTGCTCAGATCCAAGAGAGGAATAATTATTTCTGGCAGCTACAGCCTTTTGAAGTGTATTTCTTAAAGAATAAGACTTGAAAGTTGAAATTACTCCTTGATCCACGGGCTGCAGAAGGGATGCTGTGTTTCCAGACATGAAAGCAACATTGATCTCCTCGTACATCTTCATCAGAGCTCTTGGGTAAACAGGTGAATTGGTCAATGAGCAGTAGTATTTTGAAAGGAATGTTTTTCTCAGTAGCAGGCTTCAACAATGGGTTTAAAATATTCAGCAAACCATGCTACTAACAGATGTACTATCAACTACGGGGTTCAGGTTCATTGTTCCATTGTTAGAGCTTAGGCAGAGAAAATTTGGCCTAATTCTTAAGGGCCCTAGGATTTTCAGAATGGTCAACAAGCATTAGTTTCAATGTGAAGTCACCAGCTGCATCAACCCCTCACAAGAGAATGAGCTTGTCCTTTGAAGCCAGACATTGATTCCTCCTCTCTAGCTATGGCAGTCCTAGATGGCATCTTCTTCCAGTATAAGCCTGTTTCATCTACATGGAAAATTTGTGGTTTATTGTAGCCACCTTCATCAATCATCTTAGCTAGATCTTCTGGATAACCTACTTCAGCATCTACATCAGCACTTGCTGCTTCACCTTGCACTTTTATGTTATGAAGACAACTTCTTTCCTTACCTCATGAACTGACCTCTGCTAGTTTCCAGCTTTTCTTCCGCAACTTTCTCACCTCTTTCAACGTTCACAGAATTGGACAGTTAGGGCCTTGCTCTAGATTAGGCTTTGGCTTACGGCGATGTTGTGGCTGGTATGATCTTCTAACAAGACCACTCAAACTTTCTCCATATCAATAGGCTGTTTTATCATTTGTGTTCACTGGAGTAGCATTCTTAATTTCCCTTAAGAATTTTTCCTTTGCATTAGCAACTTGGCTAATTGTTTGGTGCAAAAGGACTAGCTTTTGGCCTATCTGGGCTTTTGACATGACTTGTTCACTAAGCTTAATCATTTTTAGCTTCTGATTTAAGAGGAGAGATTTACTACTCTTCCTTTTGCTTAAACACCTGGAGGCCACTGTAGGGGTAATAATTTGGGGGTATTAATCAGGGCCCTGATTTCAATATTGTTGTGCCTCAGGGAATACCATTTGAGATGGTAAAAGCATCAATGTAAAACTAATTTTAAAGATCTATTTTCACTTCTTAATTTTCTAGACTTGATTTGTTTGAATTAGTATTCATGAATCTCTTGTAAAAGTAATTTGAAGGAGGATTACAAAACTGCTCCCTTCTTTGGTATAACAATAATACTGTTTTTTTTTTTGAGACGGAGTCTCACTTTGTCACCCAGGCTGGAGTGGTGGTGTGATCTTCACCACTCACTGCAACCTCCGCCTCCCGGATTCAAGCAATTCTTCTGCCTCAGCCTCCCAGATTCAAGCAATTCTTCTGCCTCAGCCTCCCAAGTAGCTGAGATTACAGGTGTGTGCCCATAAAACTGGCTAAAGTTTTTTGTATTTTTAGTAGAGACACGGTTTCACTATGTTGGTCAGGCTGGTCTTGAACTCCTGACATCAAATGATCCACCTGTATCAGCCTCCCAAAGTGCTAGGAATACAAGTATGAGCCACCACGTCCAGCCAATAGTAATAATCTTAGATAAGATATAGTACTTGCCTAGGAATTAAGAACCAACATGGAATTACTTATGAAAGAACAATAGTTAAAGCAGTTAATGTATTACATATTTCACAGTTTTGTATGTTTTATTTTACTAACTGGACAGGGGGAAAAACTCCCTGTGATAAGATGTTTTTCTTTGAGGAAACAGAGTGCATTCACTTTCTTTTAGCTTCGTGAATGAATGCTCAGGTTCCTATCATTCATACAATTGAGTGAGCGACCTTAGGTAGTTGTGTATATCCAAAATGTCTATCACTGGTGAGATTTCATATTGAAGGTTTCACAAAGAATGATCAGGTATTCCACAAACAGTAGAAGAAATTCTGATTCACATCCTTCTGATAGATTCTCCAACTAAGTTATAACCAGATCCTCCAACTAAGTTATAACCAGATCAACGAAGCACAACCTCCCTTGGTATCTGCGGGGGATTGATTCCAAGACCCCACCTCAGATACCAAAATCCACGAATGCTCAAGGCCTTTATATGAAATGGTGTAGTATAAGCTTGTTCAACCTGTGGTCTGCAGCCCATATGTGGCCCAGGACAGTTTTGAATGTGGCCTAACACAAACTCACAAATTTTTAAAAAACATTATGAGATTTTTTGCAATTTTTTTTTTTTAGCTCATTAGCTATCATTAGTATTAGAGTATTTCATGTGTGGCCCAAGATATTTCTTGTTCCAATGTGGTCCAGAGAAGCCAAAAGATTGGACGCCCCTGGGAAGTATTTACATATAACGTACACACATCCTCCTATGTACTTAAACCATCTCTAGATTACTAATACCTAATACAATGTAAATAGCTGTTATACTATAATGTTTAGGGAATGATGACATTTTAAAAGTATGCACCTGGAAAAAGTTCTGCTTCCAAATCTATTGTACACCCATGTGCATGGGCAAACTATGGATAAAAATTCTCTGACATTCTCTTTCTCTGGAGATTGAGCACTATTTTCTTTCCTGCCCATGTCTATGATGACTATACCTAAGAAGTATAAGCACTAGCTAAGGATTCCACATACTATTTCCACCACTACCACTTGACTGCTTACCATCTCTACCACATTATAACAATAGTAACACATGTTAGGCACGTCCCAGGTGCCAGACACTAGGAACTTTTCATGAACCATTTCAATTAATCCTCACAGTAACCCTATAAAGCAGGCTTTAACACTCTATTATATAAATAAGGAAAGGAGGATTTGAGAGGTTAAGCAACGGGTCTAAAGTCACACTCCCACTGAGCAACAGAATCGGAATTTGAGGCCAGGTCTTCCCAACTCCAGGTCTTTACTACTCTTTTTTTTTTTTTTTTTTGAGACAGAGTCTCGCTGTTGCCCAAGCTAGAGTGCACTCGTGTGATCTTGGCTCACTGCAACCTCTGTCTCCTGGGTTCAAGCAATTTTCCTGCCTCAGCCTCCCAAGTAGCTGGGGCTACACGTGTGCGCCACCACAACTGGCTAATTTTAGTAGAGACGGGGTTTCGCCATGTTGGCTAGGCTGGTCTCAAACTCCTCACCTCAAGTAATCTGCCCGCCTCTGCCTCCCAAAGTGCTGGGATTACAGGCATGAGCCAACACACCCAGCCTTTACTACTCTTATTATAACAGTTTTGCTTGCTATGCAGAGTAACTGTATTGAATTTGAAATCTGCAAAATGAAGTAAGAGATTCATGTCTTTAGAAGAAAACAAATAATGTCCTGCTTTTTATCTCATTTTTTTCCCCTTGAGTTCTGTCAAGCTATTGAGAAGCAATATATATGAAAATTAACACATGACACAAGTCCTTTTGCCAGGCAAACGCCCTAATTTACCTGTTAATATGATGCCTATAAACATCCAGACACAGAGAAAAATGTTCCCTGCCTTAGGACCATAGTCTGATGTGAGCTTTCCTTGAGCCAATGTGAACAAAATTCCAAATATCTAAAATACAATAAGAAAAATCATTCGTTATTAAGTTAAATTATTTAAAGCAAGTATAAAGTTTTCACCAGAACTTTTCTTATTTTGGTTATATGATTTGGTTTCTAGAAACATTCATTGAAAAGTTGAATTGTTAAAACAAAAACCACGGTCAGGCTGGGTGCAGTGGCTCACACCCACTGTAATCCTAGCACTTTGGGAGTTGAGGTAGGCGAATTGCTTGAGCCCAGGAGTCCGAGACCAGCCTGGACAACATGGCAAAACACCATCTCTACAAAAAATAACAAAAAAAATTTAGCTGGGCATGCTGGTGTGCACCTGCAGTCCCAAAAACTCTGGAGGCAGAGGGGGGAGGATTGCTTGAGCCTAGGAGTTTGAGGCTATAGTTAGCCATGACTGCACTACTGCACTCCAGCTTGGATGGCTGAGCAAGACTCTGTCTCCAAAAAACAAAACAACAACAACAACAAATAAAACCATGGTCAAACTCATTACTCACTAGAATATCTGGTATAATAATCATCTCAGGTTTAGAGAAATCAGAGGTTTACCTGTGCAGAAGCATTAAGAAGACCAGATGAAGTACCTTCAGATTCAGGGTAAGTGATTTCAACAGCAAATTCAAAACCCAAAGGGAGGTAACCAGTCATGAAGAAGCTAGGAAAATAAATCCAGAATTACAGAAAGAACTACCAGAAAGTCACAATCACATACTGATGCAATCATTCTGCCTCTCGGGCTTATTCTAATGACCAAATAAGTGAATATTTTGAAGTTGCTATGTCAAAGTAAGGAACTATTATCATTGACCAATCAGCTCAAGGTTACAGAACTGGAAGCAACAAATACACATTTTTTTCTGAGAAAAATTTACTTCTAGTTTTATAAGTTGATTGTAACCAAATAAAGTTACACAGATTAAGTAAGGCTCATCCATTTTTTACCTATGGTATACCAAAAACCAATTTTAAATAATTTTTAATAGTTCTTAAGAATTACATGTTTATATGCATAGAATGAATCCTTTAAAGTTTAAAATATTGAAGAAACTTTGGATGAACTGAAAAAATTAAAGACCAGAGTAATAATACTTCAGAATTATAACAGCATGCTATCATTCCTCCTAAACACATCTGATACTTACCCAAGCACCCCTCCAGTAACAAACACGATGATAATATATCTAAGGTCCAATGTGAAAGTAAAGATAACCATTCCAATAAAAGACAAAATATAAACTATCAGAGTAGTCTGTCTAAAACAAAAACAACAAAGCTGTTAGTATTTTGTCTGATTCTCCTAGGAATACAAAAATCATCACTCTTACCTGTTCAGTAATGAATCTTTGTTTTTCAAAGTTCACCCCTTCTTGTCCATGGAAATATGTATCCACCAAAGCACAAATTTTAAAGCATTTTTAATTTAAGATTCAGCAGCACCAGAAAACCACACCATATCGAATGCTCAGATAGGATCCTTTTATAGGAATAAAATCATTTTTATGCCACCAAATGGGATAGTTCCCTATTCACATTTCAAGATTCAGATCAAATTCTACCTCTTCCAAATGCCTTCTGTAACGACACCAGTTTATAAGAGTCTCTCTTTCTTCCAAATTCCCTTATCATACTGGCACTATAAAACTTATGACATCTATTTTAGTTTGTTATATTATTTAACTTTTCACATGTGAATGCCTTATTTGCTCCATTTAGACCACAAACATCTTAAGAACAGGGATCACATAATGCCAGCCATAATTTTCATCTAAGAAAGATGCACACAACAGGAGTTTGGTGAATGAATGGCAGTTACCCTGAGAAGGAAGCCACAGTGGCAAAGAACACACATCTATGCCTATCAAGTTTTCTAAATGTATAACGGATGAAAGACTTAAGAAATATAATCCTTTACATATGCTCCCTTCATCTATATATCAAGTAGGTTTCACTCTAAGCTATCATTTTAAAATAATGAAGCTAAGGCAAGTGCTGTCTTAAATTATGGAAGAATATGGAGAATTTCAAGATTAGAGATACTTTTGGTAGCGTTTAGACTAATAATATCAAATATATCTTGAGCCTTGAAAGGTACACGGGACACAGTTCCATATTTCATTCATTTATTCCTTAATAGTTTCATTCATTCATTTCCAAGTACAGGGGTAAGTTTTGGCATGTTACAAAATGTGGTGATTCTTTTCACTCCCAGAGCAAAATATGCTGCCTCTGAAACCCCTTTCTTAGTCTCCCAGTTGGTATCATTCATTTTCTTTGGTATTAGCCTTTTGGTGGTTCCATATAATGTACAATTAACAGAGTATATTCTTTTTTTTTTATTTTTTTAGACAGCGTCTTGCTCTGTCACCCAGGCTGGAGACCAGTGGCACGCTATCTCAGCTCGCTGCAACCTCTGCCTCCTGGGTTCAAGCAATTCTCCTTCCTTAGCCTCCTGAGTAGCTGGGATTACAGGTGCCCACCACCACACTTGACTATTTTTTGTATTTTCAGTAGAGATGGCGTTTCACCATGTTGCCCAAGCTGGTCTCGAACTCCTGGCCTCAAGCAATCTACCCGCCTTGGCCTCCCAAAATGCTGGGATTACAGGCATAAGACATTGTGTCAAACCAGCATTTTCACATTATGCATTATATTACAGTTAAGTGGTACTGTAGTCTGGGCGTACTTTAGCCAAAAAGTTCTTACCAAAATAAAGCCTTATGCTCAACAATAATTTTTTGATTGGAAAGAACTACTTTTTTGTTTTTGTATTTAAGCCCACAACATAAAAAAAGAACAACATAGGCCAGGTGCAGTGGCTCATGCCTGTAATCCCAGCACTTTGGGAGGCTGAGGTGGGCAGATTGCCTGACCTCAGGAGTTCAAAATCAGCCTGGGCAACATGGTGAAACACTGTCTCTATCAAAAAGTCAAAAAATTAGCCGGGTGTGGTGGCGCACACCTGTGGTCACAGCTACTCAGGAGGCTGAGGTGGGAGAATCACTTGAGCCTGGAAAGCAGAAGTTGCAGTGAGCCAAGATGGTGCCACTGCACTCCAGCCTGGGTGACAGAGTGAGACCCCACCTAAAAAAAAAAAAAAAAAAGAACAAGATAAAGTCTATCAAAAGTCAAATATTTCTCAGAAATGGCTCTTTTTAGAATAGAAATAATTCCTTCGGAAGTGGTAGGTATGAGTACTGTTAGAAAGAAGGGGCTCATAAGGTATCCAAGTTCTCAGAATTGAAATAAATGTGACCAATAAAATAATACAATACATAGAGTATTGAAACACTTGTTGCTGGGCGCGGTGGCTCACGCCTGTAATCCCAGCACTTTGGGAGGTCGAGGCGGGTGGATCACAAGGTCAGGAGATCGAGACCATCCTGGCTAACAAGGTGAAACCCCGTCTCTACTAAAAATATAAAAAAATTAGCCGGACATGGTGGCGGGTGCCTGTAGTCCCAGCTACTCGGGAGGCTGAGGCAGGAAAATGGCGTGAAGCCGGGAGACAGAGGTTGCAGTGAGCCGAGATTGCGCCACTGCACTCTAGCCTGGGCGACAGAACGAGACTCCGTCTCAAAAAAAAAAAAAAAAAAGAAACACTTGTTAAGTGAAGAGAACCTACTAGTGTTTAGAATCCGTATCTTTAAGTAATAACATGTTTTAAATTTCTTGAAATAAAAAGCAAATTGTCCTTTAAAATCAAAATACCTTTGGTTATACACCATACATGTATTTACTTTCACTTACTTGTATGTTTTAGTATAATCCAGCCATAAGCCACAAAGAATAGAGCCCACCATTCCAGCTACTACTAGCGTTAGCCCAATCCTTCCAGCATTGACTTCTTCTCCCTGAAAAAAATTTGCGTAAGAAGTTGATCAAATAAATGGATTAACTAATTCAGACTCTTCACATTCCCACACCTTTTCATAGTCAATGAAAATAATTAGATAAAACTAAGCACACAGTAGGAAGATTTAGTACATGTGTCAGTGTGGGAGGGGAGGGCAGGTAAAGAATATATAAAAGCATTATATTTTAAAACCAGAAAAAAAGCCTAAAATAATAGAAGAAATAAAAAAGGTAAATTTTCCTTAATCCTCTATGGTTAGAAGTACAATGATTTTTGTTAGGATTCTTAAGTATAGATAGTCATGTGCTCCATAATTACATTTAGGTCAACTCTGAATCATATATACAGTATGATCCTGTAAGATTATAATACTGTATTTTTATTCTACCTTCTCTGTTTAGATATATTTAGATACACAATACTTACCATTGTATTACAACTGCCTACAACATTCAGTAGCATAACATGTTATACAGGTTTGTAGCCTAGGAGCAATAGGCTATACCACGTAGCCTAGGTATGTAGCAGGCTCTACCATCAGGTTTGCGTAAGTACACTCTATGATATTCACACAACAATGAAATTGCCTAGCGAATTTCTCAGAAGGTATTCCTGTCACTAAGCAAGGTATGACACTGTATAGATATCTGAAAAGGAGGTTAATCGATAGCTTTTACATAGTACAACTGCTTTATCCTTTCAAAAGCAGATACGTCAATCAAAACTTGATATTTATTTATCTATATTTATGCTGAGTTCCCTTAAAATGTTTTGTCTTTTTCCATATAACCAATCATATTATTTCCTAAAAATAAACTTAGGTATTGTCACAGGGATAGTAACTTCTGCTTTCCATATTGTGTGTGTGTGTATTTTGTTTTGTTTCGTTTTTTTGAGATGGAGTCTCACTCTGTCACTAGGCTGGAGTACAGTGGCGCTATCTTGGCTGGGATTACAGGTGTGAGCCACGGCGCCCAGCCTGTTTTTTTTTTAAATGGGGATTCACTCTTATTGCCCAGGATGGAATACAATGGCACGATCTCGGCTCACCGCCACCTCCACCTCCCAGGCTCAAGTGTTTCTCCTGCCTCAGCCTCCCGAATAGCTGGAATTACAGGCATGCGCCACCATGCCCAGCTAATTTTGTATTTTTGGTAGAGACAGGGTTTCTCCATGTCGGTCAGGCTGGTCTCGACCTCAGGTGATCCACCCGCCTCGGCCTTCCAAAGTGCTGGGATTACAGGCGTGAGCCACTATGCCTGGCCATACTATGTGCTTTATAAACTGGATTAAATATGTTAAATTAAAATGATGGGAGGCCATTGTTTTGGAGTGAGCTCCCACAGTAGGCCCAACAGACCAGACCACATAGAATGGTGTCACTAGTGCTAGGTGTCACATAATCAAACTGAACTTTAAAATGGGCCACTTTTCCAAAAAAAAAAAAAAAAGGAGATTCATAGCAACCTATCAGATGGGGCCCAGTCCCCTTTGTTTTACTCCTATAAGGAAAGTAACTTTGTAGCAACCAATCTGCTCTTTGTTCCTTGTTTCTGCTTTCTTCAGCCTTTTTCTGCCTATAAAGCCCATCTCCTCTGCTCAGCTCATCAGTACCTTTCTAAATCTTTAGATGGGATGCTGTCCAATAAACGAATTGATAATAAAAGCCAATTAGATATATAAAGTTGTGGAAATTTCATTTTTTAACAAATATATTCTCAATTAAAACAAATGTAAATATTTGATAGCAACAATGTCATAACCCTTAATCTCATGACCCTGCTAACGACAATTATATTGCTAAAGAAAAATTTTTGGCCAGGCATGCAATCTGATATAAGCAGAAGCTTACCTCATAATATGTCAATATCATTTGATTTAATAACGTTGAGACTGAATAAAAGGCACCAGTCATGATACCTACAATAATAAATAAAGATGATATTAAGTCATGATACCTACAATAATAAAGAGAATACTAAAAGTGTGTCATTTACCAGTTCATGAAGTGACATGGAATATTATGTGACAATTGTGGAAATACATTTCTTAACACAGTTGATAAAGGAAATTAAAAACCATTGTCATTCCCTTTCAGAACCTGGACTAATGAATTTAACACCTAACTGTACTAAAGATGTAATAGCAGAACTCTGTCCTAATACTATTATTATTTAGATTGAGATATACTGACCATAAATCATACCCCCACATGCAACACATATATGGCAACCAGTCAAGCAATGGATTGTTTACTGAATTCCTACAATGTACTACTACAGCCAACAAATGTGCAAAGCCTAACAGAAACTGTGCTTCAGAGATCTTACCTTTTTGTATCAAAGACTTACTGAAAATTCATAAGACAAAATCAGTTAATACTTTTTTTTTTGAGATGGAGCCTTGCTCTGTTGCCCAGGCTGGAGAGTAGTGGTGCAATCTCAGCTCACTACAACCTCCGTCTCCTGGGTTCAAGCAATTCTACTGCCTCGCCTCCCAAAGGATACTTTAGAAGTGAACAATAAAAACAACTGGCTATGAGAAGCACAGGATAGGTTTGAATCCTGATGTCTCCTAGCATGTATTGTATGAATTTAGGTAAGACTCTTAACCTAAATTAAGCTAAAACTTAAGTTTATTATTTATCTATTATTAAATATTTTAAGAATATAAAATAGCATAGAGAATACAACAAATATCCTCATATATCACCCGGATTTGGCAAACATTAACATTTTTCCATCTTTGCTTCAGATTCATTTTTCAGACTTTTCCCAATCCTATTCTTTACCAAAGTCAAGCCCTAGCTTGAGCTTGGTGCTTATCATTTTATATATTACCATATATGCATATTCATAAACAATTAGAAGTATTCTGTAAGTATATAAATATTATTTGTATCCATCTGCAACTTGCTCTTGTTACACTATATTGAGATGGTTTTGAGATGTATCCATGTTGATATTTTTTGTTGTAGTTCATTAGTTTTCTGTTGTACAGTATTCTATTATGTTAATATACTTCAATTTAATTATCTCGTCCTGTCAATAGACACTTAAGGGTTTCTTTTTTAGTTTTTCACTGTTTAAAACAAGACTGCAATGAGTATTATGTTTTTGTTCTTATACATAAGAGCTTCTCTAAGTATATATCTAGAGTAGACCTTCTACTTTCTAGATATAAGCAATTTGCTCTTCAAAGTAGTTGTTATCCGTTCATACTACCAGCAGAGTTCCTACTGCTCCACATCCTTGCCAAATTTGTTTTCACCAGATTTTAAATTATTTTGCCAATGTGAATGTGTGTGATATTACATCTTACTCTGGCTTTGATTTGTATTTCCTTGATTACTGTTAAGGCTGAATATCACATAAGAACAATACACACAGACACAGACACACAAATGTCTTCTGGTGTCCTTGGATTGTTTGCTCTTTCTGATTTGTAGGAGTTATTTTTAACTAATACTAATCCTTTGTTGGTTATATGCATTGCAGACAATTTTCTCATAGTCTAAGTCCTGTCTTTTCCCTTTTTCAATAATGTCTTCCTAGAAAAGATTATTTTAATATAATCATATTTATCAATATACTTCTTTAGGGTTTATGTTTTTTGCATTAAGAAATTCTTGGCTGGGCGCAGTGGCTCACGCGTGTAATCCCAACACTTTGGGAGGCTGAGGCAGGTGGATCACGAGGTCAGGAGTTCGACACCAGTCTGGCCAAGGAGTTCGT